>NC_000002.12:17509755-17661270 GCF_000001405.40 Homo sapiens
TACCTTTAAATTATGTATATCCAGCCGGGCGCGGTGGCTCACACCTGTAATCCCAGCACTTTGGGAGGCCGAAGCAGGTGGATCACGAGGTCAGCAGTTCGAGACCAGCCTGACCAACACAGTGAAACCCTGTCTCTACTAAAAATACAAAAAAATTAGCTGGGAGTGGTGGTGGGCACCTGTAATCCCAGCGACTTGGGAGGCTGAGGCAGGAAAATCTCTTGAACCCGGAAGGTGGAGGTTGCAGTGAGCTGAGATTGCCCCACTGCACTCTAGCCTGGGCAAATAAGAGCAAAACTCCGTCTTAAAATAAATAAAATAAATAAATAAATAAATAAATTATGTATATCCTACATTTTTCTACCAATGTCAAGCATAGAAAGTAAGCTCCATAAGGCAAAGTCTTACACATGTCTTCTTTATTCTATCACTAAGCCTAAGACAATAGTAGGAGTATTACAGTAGATTTGTTCCATGAATGAACAAATTAATAGTAAGTATTAACTACATAATCATAACTCTGCTCTGGGGTCAAAGATAGACTCTGGAAGGAAAAATAAAGATTAGAAAGTGAGTGCAGAAAAAAGTAGGAAAGAATGTTACAGAGGAGAGAGCCTTTATTCCAATCTTAATACAAATGCTGTGATCTTGAAAAGCTTATTCATCCTCTCTGTGCCTCCATTTTTTCACCTGAAAAACGGGGGAAGTGGATTAGAACTGTAGTTCATTATGAGCCACAGATCCTTTCAAGAAAATAAAGGCTATCAATTTTCTCCACAAAAGGATTGTATGCATATATCATGAAAAATAATAAGTCAACATGTTTTATCCAATAATGAAACGGCTTTAATGTGTACATTTTTATATCATATAAAAATCCATAAAATATTTTATAACTTTGAAAGGTAATACCATAATTTATACACTCAAAAAAAAAAACTTCTCCACTTTATAATAAAGCAAGCCCCAAACCCCCAAGCTGGAAGAACATATATCCAAAGAAAACAAAACATTTCTAGATGTTGTAAAATGTTTTGAAATATGAAAGTCAAAAATTTTCTTTTAAGTTTCCGTAACACATTTGTTTCAGATAAGGATGAAGTTGTTTAATCCTTGCTTTTCTTGACAAACCAATCCTGATTGGCCTACTGCATGTCTTAAGCGGTCGTACTCTTGAAATGCCATGTGGAAAGTGACTACCTAAAAATATAAGACAATAAAAGTAAAAATTATCAATAGTTTCTATGCCTAAAAATCTTTACTTCTAATCATGATATTAGCAACTTTTACTGAATATTTACTGAGCACTTATTATTTATGTGCCAGACACTATACTTTAAATGCATTATTTTACTTATTTCTAGCTCCAGTTTTAAAATATGAAAAACATAAGCACAAAAAGTTAAGTAACTTGCCCCATAAAATATAGCAACTAAATAAAGTCAGCATTCCAATCAGGCAGTCTAACTTAACAACCATCACAACAAAACCATATAGGTTTTAAAGCCAACTTGATGTTGTGGCTTTAAACACCAGGTCATTTTTTCTATTGGTAGCTAAACAACTATGCTGTATGGTTAATGGTTATGTTTGGTTTCTAATGGAGGTTATTGTCAATAATAGAACACAAATGCACTCCATCTATTATGCATCAATAGAGGGCTCTGAGTTGGAAGTTGTTATTTAACATTATACTATATCATTTTCGAAGATGTCCAAAACAGTTCATGGAGATACATACATCTGTTACTAAATCAGTTATGTAAAATCAACTACCTCTGATAATAAAATACAATATCTCTAACTTTCAGGGTTTTTTAAATAAACTGTGGGGTACATATGTAAAACCAAACTGTGGGGTACATATATAAAACCAAAAATGTAAATCAAACTTTATTGAATCAGTATGACCTCAATATAATAGCCTGTTATACTAAAAACAGTGTAATCAAATGTTAAATCTGACAAAAGGTTAGCAGTATGATTTTTACTAACCTGAACCAAAAAGAATCTGTATGTATCTATGTAAACTTTAATGAAGTAGAATACAGAATTAAGCTACATGTATAATAAACAGGGAGAAAAACAACACAAAATAGATAAAATCAGTTTATTATACTCTATTCAATATTAAAATTAGAAAATTAATTATTAAAGGTTAAAGAAAAATACATTATTGCTAGATCTTTTAAAAACTTTGAAACACAAAGGGATTGTTTAAATAAGACAACATTGTTGGATCACAAGATCCTCCTCCATTGGTCTAAATGATATATAAAGCGCCAGTGAACTGGCTGGTTGGCATACAACATGTGCTCAAAATAATTTCAATACTGTACTTGCCTTCACACCACAGAGAGAAGAGAGAGATGGAAAGAGAGAAGGGATTCATTGAAGACATTTAGTAGTCAACGGAAACGTTAAGAGAAGAGGCATCATGATGGCAGGTGGGTGGGTATCAAAACTTTTCAGGATAACTGGGATCTTTCTGATGCCTTTAAAATGACAGTGTATAAGCAGGCAACCACTCTAACTAGGCAGATCAGTAAAATCCATTCATATTAACCCCATTCCCCAGTATCTTCCAACTTTTCTCTTACACTGTGGATTTTAACAAGCCTCAGGATGATCATTCAACTTTTGTACCCTTTGAAAGTGAATCTACTTCCTAACATAGTATTAAATAATTCTGGCTGAATTCATACATTATTTTTGACATTTCACAACATGTCATTTTAACTTGTGAAGGCAGAATCACATTGTTATATGGGTTTAGATATTTCAAACAAATGTAATGATTGCTTTTCCAATGTGCACACATACTTTATCTTCCTCCTATATCCATTTTATTATCACAATTATAATCACAATGACAGCATGAGGATATACTCCTAATCTTCCTTTATTCTATATCAAAATATATTGCTAAGCCAATTTCTTCCTTTCTTTCTGCCCTAGAAGAAGCAAACCCTATCCTTTTCAGGCTAATTCTTGCCATACTACTTTTTGACTCATGGAGTATTGTTCCATCAGTTACTTCCTTCATCCCGGGGAGAAGAGACTACCTGTGGGCTTTGATCTTCCAATGTTTTGATTAATTTTTAAAACTATTTCATTGTAAGCTAAGAAAAGAGGAAAAGATACAATTCTGAGGTGACAATAAAAGTATCAGAGGTAACATTCTACTGATTACGAGAATGCAGAAAAAATGTTTTGAGACATGATGCATGACTTAAGATGTTTTAGTAAATATATTTAACCTACAATGTTACTCTTTTTAGATCTAACCTTGTTGTATAATACCAGAAATTTCTGACCGGATTATAACTTTGCCTAGTTCCATAATTTCAATCCTACCCCTACCCTACACCCTTGGTACCACAAGGTGGAATGAATGTTAGACATACTGTGTTTTATTCTGATATTGTAGATCTGTTGGGCAAAAGATAAGGTTAGTTGTTTAATTTTTCTTTAGTGTGTGCTTTTTTTTTTTTTTTTTTTTGACAGAATCTCACTCTGTCGCCCAGGCTGGAGTGCAGTGGCTCAATCTAGGCTCACTGCAAGCCCCGCCTCCCGGGTTCACTCCATTCTCCTGCCTCAGCCTCCCATGTAGCTGGGACTACAGGTGCCCACCACCATGCCTGGCTAATTTTTATTATTTTTAGTAGAAATGGGTTTTCACCGTGTTAGCCAGGATGGTCTTGATCTCCTGACCTCGTGATCCGCCCACCTCAGCCTCCCAAATTGCTGGGGTTACAGGCGTGAGCCACCGTGCCTGGCCTAGTTGTATTTTTAATGTAATCGAAAGTATAAACATCAGTCAAAAATCATGTTGACATGACTAAATGGCAAATATTTTTTATTCACATAATAAAATGTCCACATAAAAGCTTCATAACAATGAGAAGCATAGAGCATGCTCTCTATCAGAGAGCATGGTCCCTATTACACATCTCTATTAGATGTGTAAACTAGGCATATGCAACACTTAACATATAGTCACTTTAATACATCAATACAAATATCTGAACGTAGTTTTGCAGAGTGCATTTCCCAATAATATTCTAAATAGCATTTTAACTGTTACCAAATTTTTAATTATTAGAATTTATCAGTATAATATTAATGCTCTTAAAAGGTGCTAAAACTTTGTATTTATTTTGAACAACATGAATATCTATACTTTCCTCATACTAAAAATACCATAATGCAATAATCATCTTAGAAGTTATCCTAAAAAGTAACCACAATGTTACCTCCTCTCAATAAATAATTAAATTCTTCTTTACATTCATCAGGGAGAAAAGCAGGTCTTTTAGGTAAAGGTGTTTCACAATCTGAAAATAAAGAGTGATATGTTACAGCAAAAAGTAACTTTTATATAAAATATTAATGGTATAAACAAATTATATTTTCAGAAATATTTCCTTCAGTTGGCTCCTAATATTTAGAAAAATGAAGTAGGACTCTTCAAAGCTCCTTTTTAAAATTAACTTGTTTCCTTCAACTTCAGTATATTATTGAACATTTGAATACATCTTTATGAGAAAATAGTGTGCACCCAGCTAGCAGCTGCTGAGAAATTCAAATTTCAAGGTGAAGCTGTGTCAAAGTTCAAGGTGAAGCTGTCTCAAACATTCAAGAAAACACACAGACTCCAACTGTACAAGAGGAGAGTGAAGAGGAAGAGGTTGATGAAACAGGTGTAGAAGTTAAGGACATAAGGCCTGGCGTGGTGGCTCACGCTTGTAATCCTAGCATTTTGGGAGGCCGAGGGCGGCGGGGGGGGTGGATCACAAGGTCAGGAGTTCGAGACCAGCCAGGCCAACACAGTGAAGCCCCCATCTCTACTAAAAACACAAAAATTAGCTGGGTGTCGTGGCAGTCGCCTGTAATCCCAGCTACTCTGGAGGCTAAGGCAGGAGAATCACTTGAACCCAGGAGGCAGAGGTTACAGTGAGCCGAGATTGTGCCACTGCACTCCAGCCTGGGCCACAGAGCTCGACTCTGTCTCAAAAAAAAGAAGTTAAGGACATAGAATTGGTCATGCCAGAAGCAAATGTGTCGAGAGCAAAGGCAGTCTGAGCCCTGAAGTACAAGTAATGATATGTGGTAAATGCTATTGTGGAATTAACAATGTAACTGTATGAAAACACCTTTTTTTTTTTTCTTGGTGTTTCCAAGGAGTAACTGCAGCTTGCTTTGAAATTTGTATTGTTTCTATCATAAATAAAGCTATGGCTTCTTGCTGGAAAAAAAAAAAAAGAAAGAAAATAGTGTGCATCAATAAACATTGTCTTGCATTTTATCTCTACCTTCCTTCTTTGTTGTCAAAATTATACATTTGGCCTACACAGAAAAAAGCAGTAATTTTTCTAGCATGAGAAATAATGTTCTAAAATGAATTTCATACCTTTCTCAGAAGTAGAGTAAAGTAATTCTTCCTCTGATCTACTTGGATAACAACTCTCATTAGGAACTTCCTGTTCTCCATTATTGGGTACAGTTTTCCATTTAAATAAACTTTGGTGACTTTTGCCCATATTAGGACCTGCTATAGTATCATGGAACGAGGAAGATGCACGTATTTTGTTGACCACAACCATTTTCAAATCTTTTTCTATCTCCATTTTTACCTTCTCAGCATCATTTTCTCCAAAGTAATTTTCTTGCCCATTGTTTGTTTCCACAGTGCTTAGAAGTTCATTTTCCCTACTAATTTCATGAAACATACGAAGTTCTTCAAGTACTAAGTCAAATTTTCTCTTCATCTCAAAATCTTTTACTATTGTCAGAGCTTCTGTTGATAAATATTTAGCAGCTAAGTCCTGAAAACATTCATCATTCCCTTCACTCAGACCAGTTTCAAATTGATGATTAATATATAATGCAGAGTCATTCTTTCTGTGAAAATCCTTTGAATTAGCTATCTCCCTTTCTGGCAAAATACTCTCATATTCATTTGTATTTGTTACATAATTTTGATTAACATATTTATTTTCTTCCACATTTACTTCCTTACTTATTAATGAAACTGACTGTACAGAAAACATGTCATCCATTGGAAAAAAACTATCTTTCTCTTCCTTTTCTATCTTAGTATCTTTGTGAACTTGGCAACTATTTGTTAAACTTTCAGCTGTGACTTTTACTTCCTCTTTCAAAATTAAGTCATATTTTTTTTCTTCTATTTCACTTAGCAAGTTCCAAAAATTTAGTACTTGAGTTATAGAAGTGGTATGGGTCTCTTCATTATGTATTATGTTGTGGCTTGCTGGTATGGCCTGTTGCCTAACATTGCAGAGATCTTCAAATATGTGCTCACAGTCAAAGTTACTGATCTTATTATGTCCCTGTTTTCTTTCCATATTTAAATCTTGGCTGTGCATATTTACTTCATAAAAATTTTCATTAATGTATCCTCGGTTGTTCTGTATAAATTGAGGACAAGAATTACCATGTGCTTTAACAGTACTAGAATTATAGTGAGCCCAATTTTCCACATTCACAACTTGTTGAGGACAACTCATATTCTGACAAGTAATTTCTCTTATTAAAGAAATTTCATCCATGTCATCAAAGTCCATTAAAAGGGGAATTTTTTCATATGTTTCAAAAATCGGAAAACCTGTATTTTGAGTTGTCATACTGAAGGAATTAATGAGTTTTTTCTTAGACTTTTCAAAAACTTGTTCAGTTCTAAATAACTTCCTTTTCTTTAACATAGGTTTCATATTATCTTCTAATAGTCTTGAAGAAGTTAAAATCTTTACTAGATATGCAGTATGATTTTCCACTATATTTTTTGGATACTTCAAATAAAGCATGCACTTGAAAATGCATTCCTCTTCTAATTCAAAATCATTTTCAATTCTTGTTAAAGAGTCAAAGTTATTGAGCAAAAAAGCTATGTTAGTTTTCAATAGAATATCTAAAGGTTCTGAAACACTATCTTGTAAATATATGCTTAAAATTCCATTCTTTATATTTGTATTCATGTTTCTGGTTATTAGATTTTGAATACCAATTATACCAATTTGCTTTTTACACTTCAAAATGTTACAGCAGGTTAAAATACTATTATCTTTTTTATTTCCTGAAATACTTTTATGGAAATAAAAAATTTCTATAATGAAACTTTCAAAAGGGTTGTTCACATGAAAGACTTTTTGTGTAGTATTGTATCTCAACTGTAGAGTATTATCATTTTCTCCTTTACCATTTAGCCAAACAGTCGTTATTAAAGCTGTCTGACTACCTAATATTTCTCTTACGAGAAGCTTTGATTGTTCTTCATATGCATTGATGACTTTTGCACAGTGGTAATCTTCCTTGCTTAAAAGGTCTATTTCTAATAATAATAGCCAATTCCATTTTTCTTCAGTTTTTTTCATATTTTCACATTTAGTCTTGCAATTATTTATAATCCAACAATTTCCTCTATTTCTTCTCAAAATATGTCTAACGTTACAGTCCCAGTTTTGAGATTTTTCCAGCCTGGTAAGTACGTAACTGTCCAGACATTCTGCTTCCTCCCAATTTGCATTTTCTAGTATAGCGAAATTCTTTCTAGAGTCTCTTACATTACACTGGATACTACTGCAGTTACAGTAGTTTGAACTGATCAAGTCTTTTCTCTTACAAGTATTTTGGCTACTGAGTGATGGGTAGTCATTTTCATAACATTTGGAAAAAATGTTTTCCGCTTCTACAGTTTTTTTATCATTCTGTAACTTTTGCTTCTTAACATCAGGTCTATTTTGGGACCAGTAAATGTTTGTGAAATCCCTAACATATGCCTCTTTTTTGTCATTCTTTTTCTTCGCTATTTCCTTTAAATAGACAGAGGACATTTTGCTATTTAAGTCCATTGGAAACTGAGGGACACTTATTGTGCCGCTATCTCTAAAATAGCTAGGTTTGGCAATTTCCAAGCTGGGCTGGTTTTGAGATTTTGATATTTTTAGTACAGATGATGAAATGTTATTTTCTCTTTTATTTGATGGCACAACACTGTTAGCTTTACATCTGTTCTTAATTTCATGAAATGGTGATTTAGTTTCCTTGTAAAAGGTAACATCTAAAAATGGATTTTCTTTGTGAACATTGTCTCTTCCTTGGACAAACTGTTGTTTTCGATTCTCATTTCTAATTCCATGTATATCGTGTATAGAGGTGCTGGGCAGAAGTTGACTAACCCCTGCTTTGGAGCTATTACTGCGGTGCACACTGAAAGCCTCTCTGTCATGCAGGCCTGCCTCAGACCTTCCTGAAGCCCTCAAATCAGAATCAGGACTTTGTGAGGGGGGAGACTGCAAACAGCTACTCATTTGGAATTTGAGATTTGAGCATTTCAGATTACATATCTGCTTCCCACTGACTGATTTCTCCACACACGAGTCTGTGGAGTTATCGAAAATAGCATTCGTTGAAACAAGGAGTCCCTTGAAGGGTCTAGGGGACAACTCCCAGACTTTTTCCGCCTCAGACAAGCGAGGCACCAGAGGCAGTCGCCAGCCCGCCTTAAAGACACCTCCAGGCTCCTCAAGACAGAGCCGCTTGCTACTAGGTGGTTGGGAATCCGGGTCCTCAGGAGGCGTTAAAGAGGAGGTAGGCTTTCTGAGCTCGGCCATCCGCGGCGTGGGCTGAGGGAGAGACATGACAGCGAATGGAAAGGATCTGTCCGAGTCCCGGCGGGGCTCCAATCCCTTAATAGGCGGTTCCGGGCCGCTCTGGTCACGCCCCTGACCCGCCCCTCAAGACCTGGCCTTAGCCTAATCTCAGGGTTTGCCCCACCCCGAATCCGCCCCTCCACAGCCCCAGCCTCAGCCCCGCCCCGCCTCCCTCAGTCCCTCCTCTCCCTGCCCCCACCCACGCGCCCCGGTTGTCTCACCACTGAAGGTCGGAGCACCCTGGGCCGTTACATTGTCTATTTTTAGCGCCTTTTTCTAATGCCACGACTGTAGAGAGTCTAAATGCTTTTTTCCCTGTGGTAGAACGAAGGGGAAAAGTTAGAACCTCTCACTTAAAAAAAAAAAATTTGTGAATGGTAACAACTTTATTTTCTAAATTCTAAAATTTTGTTTACCTCAGAAACGGCATCTCCACAACGGCTCGAGTGACTCTCCAGTAAAATCGTGTAGTTCTGTCAGCACCAGACCAAATCTCTCTGTGTATGGAAAAACTTTTTAATCCTTCCAGCGTCACTTAAGATCATATTAATATTTCCACTTCACTAATAAAGTGTGTTTGGGGGAAAAAAGCCACCAGTACTTACCAGTCTATCTGAGGAAAAAATGTGTGGAAATTATTATCCGGATAATTATTATTCTTCACTTAAGACTAAAAAAAAAATAGTTTACTATGTGCTGTGGGGATTTCTTCTCAAATATTGTGGATAAAATTATTTAGAGATAAAATATTATATGTTTGAACTACCCCATTTAGTGTAAACATAATAATACAGGTCTGACTCATACCTACTAACAAATTTTTAGACGCTATTTCTTGTTTTTTTTTTTCCTGCTTTGAGAATCATTTATGATTTCCAGTCAATTCTGGTTTTTGTGAATTCTATAATCATTAAGAAGAAAATGTTTTTCAAAATGTTTATTATTATTATATACATGTTTCTTAAGAAACATGTAACTGGTGCTCAGTAATAAACACCTCGATTCCCTTGGTGGTTGTTTCAAGCTTGGTATGTTTTATATTACATTTTATGCTAAAATTTATAATAACTACAATAACATGCAACCAGAATCCTAACTTCAGAACCCTCCCATGGCATAGATGGCAATATATAACTAGCCTTCTACTTTAGGTAATAAGATGTTCACCAGTTTCATGTTTTTTAAATACTCTTAGATACATTGTGATTACTTCAGTGTAAATTCCTCTAGAGAAATGTTTACTTAAGTTTGTAGAAAGCCTTGCAGCAGAAGCACTTCATTAACACTATAAATAAGAATGTGGCAGTGGTTCAGATTCCACATCAGTGAATTCTCCAAGTTCTACTTCTGTGTATCTTATGTTCTATTGCTTTTCTATCCCAGATTTTCCACAAATCTATATTCTTTTCTAATCCATTCTGTTTTAGCCCATAAGGGGTGACTTGTATAGCTAAGGTGTATATAATTGGTGCGCTAGTGTGATATTAGGACCAAGACTTTTTAAATCTGTAAAGTAAATGCCATTGATTGTGATTTCTAGTCTAGATTGATCTGTAACTTGATATTTGATTATTTCTTCATCTTGCTAGTTTGCCCAAGAGCACATTATTTTTTATATCTCCATCACATCATTATTTAACAACTCTACATTGTTTAAGGATTAAAATTCAAATAAAACCCAGAAGTATTACATGTAACTCAACAATTGTTTGACTCCAAGATACAGAAATGTATAGTTATTTTCTCCATCCTGAAGAAACTTACAGCCATAAAGACCAAAAAAAGAGTCTTTTCTTGCATTTACTTATTTAAACATTATACTAATGGCCACTGCCATTTCAAACAATGGCTATTGAAACCACTATTTATGTGGGTTTTTTCCTTTGTTTTTTTAAATGCCACCTAGAAAATGAACCAGTTATAAGTGAGAAATGCAAAAAATTATGTCTTCAACTCATCATAATCAAAATATAAATAAGACTTGTCTGAATCTTACTGATGCCTCAAAGCCCATTTCAAATGTCATATTTTTCTATATCACTTTACCCAACCCTTCCTTTGAAGTTCTTACCTTCCTTAGTAACAGTAAACTGAGCTTTAAAGACAGCATCTATCTGATTTCTTTTAGCGTGGTGTCTTCTTATAGTTCAACTCTGAATGAATAAAAGGATTAATGAGTTCATGAGATAAACCCCATACTGAAGATATGACACAATCTCCTATTAGAGTTAAATCAGAAATTTACTCAATATCAATATCAAGTCTAATGTCCTTAAGCATAGTATGTCACATCCTCACTACTAGGTCCTACTTAACTCTTTCAGCTTCTTTTTTTTTTTTTAAACAATTTGCCCCCATGCTGCCTACACCAGAATGTTTATTTTCTTGCTCTTTTATGTATGTTCTCAAAGCCCTTCATTTCTCCTCCTGGCAAATTCTTATTAAGCCTTAAATGGCCCTACTCAAAAGTTACCTCTACGGTGAAAGCTTCTCTTCCTCCTCCCTGCTGTAGCCAATCCCTGGGCAGAATTACTTGCATCGTCATCTGTTTCCTATAGCAATTTATTTCTAACTGTAGAACACTTAAAATGTCTTTATTGTATTGAGTTGTTTATATGTCCCCTCCACTAGGCTCCATTAATCAGGACAAGGATTTATTAATTTTTGTATCCCCAGTGCCTCTAAGTACCTCAGTTAATTAGAAGAAATGAAATGACTCCATGGTTAATACTCATTTACCAACTCAAATGGATTCATGGTGTCTTGAAAGTGCCTTAAGTTTCTTGTTTTTGTGTTATTTTGCTTTAGTTTTATACATTAGAGACTTGCTTTTATAATCATGTTGAAATACATTTAACATGAAAACTATGCTGAGCTATAACACCATAGGAGTTCAAAATGGACTTCAAATATTAGTGGTTTTAGCATCATTTGTGTTTCATGGTAGAACCAGAAATATGACAAGACAGTTTTTCCCTTTTACTTCTTTTAATAAATCATGTAAGAAGTGAATAAATATGCTAAATCTAAAAGTTTGTTTCAAACTGAAAGATAATAAAATATATTTCAAACAGTTAAAAGAACCACTAACAAAAATATTTAAATACAGCAGTTAGAAAGGAAAACATCATCACTTACTAAAAATATTTAAAATAAATATGGCTATAAATAACACAAATAGCACTTTTCATCAAGTCAATGATAAGCACTAGGGGAAAATAAGAAAATCAGGATACTGTGTACATTTATTTGCATATAAGATTAAGTTTTTATCAGCGCAATAATGGTAATTTGTAACATAAATAACATCTTAAATGTGATAACATATGTGCAAATGCTTTAAACTATAAACCACCTTTTTGTCCTCAATGTTCATTAATGACATCATAATCTATCCAGTCTCCTAAACTAAAACTCTTATATTATCCTTAACTTTTTCTCTTTTTTTGTTTTACTACTTCCCAAAATGCATCCCCTACATAGACATTCATCAAATCTTGTTGATTTTACATCAAATATGACCCTGAAATTAATCCCCCTTTTATCCATAATGTATCATCTTTATTTCAATCTCTCGTTATCTCTTTCTGAGAATATTGTAATAAACCAGTCTTCATTTTACTAGTCTCTTCTCAACTTCTGCCCAATACCATTACAAAAGTTTTTTTCTTAATAGAATATTAATCATTTTGTTACTTTCTTAAGAACTTCTTTTAACCTTTGATGCCCTTCAGAATAAAATACAAACTTTAATTTGACATAGAAAGTTCCTCATAGTTCAGTTCTAAACTGTTTTTTTCAGCTTCCACATCTACTCCCACAACACAACTTACTTTCCTGCAGCACTTAACTTCTTGCCATCCCTTAAATGTATAAAGCCCTTCGCAGTTTCAGTCTAGGCCATATGCTGCTTCGTTTGCTTAAAGCATAGTGGCAGGTCTTACTTAGGAAAGTTTTCTGCAGTGATCCAAAGTTTACAGTCATCTTTAGACCCCTACAGTTTTATTTGCTAACCTTTTTTTTAACTTCTAAATTTCTCCGCATTATTATGTTATTATATTTTCTGCTTACTTAGCTAATTAGAAATAACCTTTTTCCTGAGCTCTAAGTATTGGAAAAACAGGTGGAATGTTCCACTATTTACAACATCCATTTGATACTCTAATAAATTTCAGTAACAATTTAAGAACCCTGTCGCTGAAATAAAGCAAGAGTTTGTTTTTTATTAGAATCCGTGCAATTGCAAATAACACCTTTTTTAAAAACAATTACGAGTTCTTTCCAATTAGACTTTTGTAAAAATCTTTTCAAGGTTTTGAGAGGACAAAATGTCTTTTTTTAATCATATAAACTTAAAATACTTAGATTACTTCCTCCTTTTGTAGTTTTTTCCTGAGTTTAGTCACATAAATATTTAGTTGGACATGGCAAATTTATATAGCTATCTTTTACTTAAAATTTTCAAGGAATTACATATATTGACATTAAATAAAAAATACATTTAACATGAAAACTATGCTGAACATAATTTAATTTTATATCCTGAAAGAAATATTGAATAGTAGTTGGAGGAGTAGAGTCGAATCAAACTAAGTTTTTGAATCTATAGTCCACTCATTCCTTGATGTGTAATATGAGCAAATTATTTAGTTTTTCTGAGACACAGCTTCCCATAAATGGGAATTAAAAAATAGAACCTACCTCATAGATTGCTGGGTAAAGTAAATGAAATACAGTATATAAAGCATTTAGAAGAGTCCTGGGCACCCAGTCAATGTCCATTTAAAAACATTTTTAATTACAATAATTATTATCAAACTCATAGTGTGCTGAGCTGGCTCTTACAGATTCAGAAGAGTTGATTGTTAGCATCTCTTCCCAACTGTGTATTTCAGTAACTTCACGTGGGTAGTTTGGAAGTATTTACATCACTGTAAATGGCTCATAATGGAAGTATTTATATCACTGAAATCAGCATATGCTACAGATCAGAGCTTTTTTTTCTAGAAAACCAGTTGTTAACAGTTACCAGCATAGTACAGCATCAAACTCTGTCTTATGTTTCAATAGTAATTTATATTATTCATACTATCTAAGTCAATTCTTACTACAAGCTTATAGCTGTAGTGAGCCAGGCAGTTTGTCTAGCTAATATCAAAGTCAAGCAATTCAATAGACTCTATATTTGATGCCAGGACATATGCAAAAACCTCATTTAAAAATAAAAGAAGCTCGTTGTAGTTAGTTTTCATCTCATTTGATAGTTCTTTATGAGTGGAAAGTCCAAAACTTAACATATACAAAAAAGTAGCTATTTAATATTTTAAGTTTGTTTATAGTTTCGTGATTTCAGAATGCACATAGGTTCTGTTCACAGGAAAACAATGGATCAAAAGAATACTCCCTCTATCATTATCTAGGACAGAGTATAGCCACTGCCTACTATCAATGAATAATCATTGAATCATAATATAATCTTCAAAGTACTTTTAAGTGGATGCTGTCATGTGATGATTTAACTCTCCTTTGATTTGCTGAACATCTATTATGTGCAAGGATCTGTGCCTGATGCTGAATGAAATATTTTGACATGTAAGATTTAATCCTTGTCTCTAAAGAATGCATTCTAACAAGAAATATGCATATAAAAGGATAACCAACAATACATTGCCGAATCAGGCTGTTCACAACTTTGTCCTAGCTATTTTTCAGCCTTATCTTCAGCCACTTCACTCTCCTCTCCTGTGCCTCTCACAATTTGCCACACAAAACTACTTGCAATTTCCAAACATTCATGTGTTTTGTTGTTTTGTTGTTCAGTTCAAAAGACATTTATTGAGCATCTATTATTCAGCAAGCATTGCGTTAAGTATCAGGAATCCAAAATAATACACAGTCTTTTTCCCAGAAATTTAGAGTACAGTAGGGAGACAGACTTATAGTTTATTTCAGTATAATAGGATAAGCGCTACAGTAAAGTTATATCTAGCCACTGAAGAAAGGGGATCAAATGTAGTCTGGAGACTTAGGGGAGACTTTCAGGAAGAAATGGTGTCCAAAAGCTGAGTCTTAAAGGTTATATTCATTCATTTAATTCCTATAAGCCTATAGTTTTCTGTAAAACTTCCTTTTATTTCCATACTAATCAATTATTCATCCATGTTCCCATAACATTTCAGACATCTATTGCATACTTATAAAATTATATAGAGATTAGTTGTAACATACTATCTCTTACACTAAATTATTAGCTCTTTAAGACTTGGGATAGTTAATTTGGTTATCTTCATATTTCCAATATTTAGCATGGGACCTACCATATGATAGACATTTTTTAAACTGTCAGCTTGAAAATATACCAAGTGAATGATATAGAAAATAAGTACTGTAAAAAATAAATGCTGTGAAAATTCGGGGAGGGATTACATAAATTCTATACAAAATAGGCAAGGAAGGCTTCACAGAGGAAAGGATTGAAAAATTCCTGTAAAACAGGATCTAGGAAGCCTCAGGAGAGTAGTTTCAACCAGAAACAAAATTTAACCTAAGGTCCAAAAAATAGAGCTCTGTTTTGTCAGAGACAAAGAAAGTGGGGAAATAGCTCTAACATTAAACTGAGAGGTAGGAATAAAGATGAATTAATCTGAAAGCCACTGACTCAAGGAATCTGGTTACAAGAAGGCTTGGCCAATCAGGGTGAAAAGCAACAAGGGCCTGGAAGACACTGAGCAATATTTTAAAAAACTAAATCTAAATAGACATTATGATATAGTAACTTGCCTATCCTGAATGTAGTATGTATCCCAGGATTTCTCTAATTATAATGAATGGGTTTGGTATATTCCACATAACTGAATTTAGCATCAGTGGACCTTTTAAGAGGAGAATTAATGAAAGAAAATGTGACCAAGGCCATGATACCCTTGAGCAGATATTTGAAGGGGTCTAGCAGAAAAAGAGCCAAGAATCACAGAAAGTAGACAAGGAAATGTAACACTGGGAATTGGGGAGAGGCATTAGTGCGTACTGCAATGTGCTGTCACACAATTCTGTTAAAGGATAACCTTTTCCCTAATTTTTAATAGTTTCTCAAAGATAATTATGCCCTATATGGGGAAAAAATAGGATCAACATGTTTAATTTTGAAATGCAATCTGATACATACTCATTATATATGTAATATTTGTTTTACATAGTACTTATGAATAGAGAAGAAAGTTGCTTTGCAATTTTTGCCTGAGGTCATTCATGCTCATCACCCACTTAACTGTAGTTTCATATCAACTTCCACAAGCTAATCCCACAATTTCTGGAGACCACTCAGAGGGACTCTAGAAATGACTTTCTTAAAAGTTATCTGGCCTGCACCTTGGACAATAACCTAGAAAACCATAGATATAGAATACGGGCTGCTTGGTTAAAGTTACAATGCCTTCTTCAAGAAACATTCAAACAAGGCAGCAGCTGGGCTTGGAATATAATGTGTAGCTAAGCAGGAACAGAACCACAGTAATCATGATTGGAGTAAAGAGATAACATACATATATGACCCTTCTTCTCGTATGTGGAAAACAAAAAGGTAAGAAAGAGAAGCAGCAGCAAAATGAACATATATTTCCAAGCCATGCTAATTATGATATTATATATTATATATGTAATGTATAAGTAATATAATGAATCAAGGGATTATAAATAGAATTTTAAGTTAATATGCTCTACAACAATCCAGGTGTTGTATTTTTTTTAAAAAGTAAAGCATAAAAAGACAGAGGATTTTCTTTTTTTTATTTTTGCATATAAAATCTCTGTCGGGTGCAAACACATATAAAAAAATTCATTCAAATGATACTTAGCACAGAATATGTGCTCATCACTGTTCTGGACACAAGGCTCGTCTTTCAATAGGTATAGGCTTGTAGTCATGAACACTTAAATTTATATGTGGTTCCTTGTTGGATATCCTTCTGCTTGCTTAGCAATGTAATAGCAGCATCATATTTTCTACTTTTACACTCCAAACTGGTAGAATAATTACCAAAAAATAAAAAGATGACTATTTCAATTGCTGCATGTCATTGCAGGGAATACTCCTTCTACCGAGTTTGATTTATAGACGAAGTGCCTCAGACCATAATTATCCATTGTTGAAGTACTAATACGAGGTCAAACTTTGTCAGGAACTTCAATGTGGAACCAAAATATGCCAGTTTAAACTCCAAAAGAAGTATCCCAGATGTCTGCAGGAGACTTTGGTATTGGGGATTGAGAAATAGAAGACAAGAAACAGAAATGTAGCATCATTCACCACTAACCCTTTCTGTAACCCTAAACCCTCTACAAGAAAGGCATACAAGAAAAGGATAAGAGTTTGGATATACAACAGTCAAAACTACACTCACTGCACTGCTCAAAAAATGTGCCTTAACTGAATTTGCCAGAGGTTCAGTAGAATTACAAAACTATTTTGCACTTTTTTTAATGAAAAAGGTTTTCAAACTCTGGCAAGAAAACAAGCTCAAAATTCAGGCTTTTTGTTTTATTTTGATTTTTTTCTGTTGCTTTGAGGAATGAACACTATAAACTTGTATCAATTTACACTGAAATCATAGTAAGAATTTTAAGAAGGCCAGAAATCTATTGACAGCCAATATAGAGTAGTAAAGAACATAAGAAATATGGGCTCCGCACCCCGAAAATTATCATGCTTCAGCCTTCTATTTCTTTACCTGAGTGGTGTGTTCATTTTGTGATAATTCATTATGTTGTACATTTATGAATGATATCCTTTTCTGTCTGTGTTTCCTATTTTTAGAATGAAAGAAAAAGAGAGGAAAGGAAGAAGGGAGGAACAAGGGAAGGGAGGGAATGGAGAGAAAAAAAGGATGAGAGGAGGGAAAGAGGCTGAGGCCAGGGTGTTCAGAACCTTGCATGCCAAAGCTAAGGAAAGGTGGACTTTATGCCACAGACAAGACAATATTTGTGTGTTTCAGGAAAATGATATATGTAAATAGCATTTTAGAAAAATTTATATAGTAGCCAATTTAGCATGAACCAGAAGCAAGAGAATACTGTCTCTAGGAGAAATTGGTCTAGTTTAGAAGACATTGAAATAATATAACCAGAAATGTTAAGAACCTGTATTGTAGTATCGGCCACAGGAATAATATATTTTAGAAATAATCATTAGAACTTTGTTACAGCTGCTTTGAGGGTAAGAAATCAGTGATTATTTCAAGGTTTCAAGCCCAGTTGACTAGAAAAATAAACATATTATTAATGGCAGAGGGGAGTAGAGAGGTTGAACTTGTGTGAAAGTATATCATAAGGATGAGGGTGAGGCATCTGAATTTAAACATATTGTATTGAAGAAAGTGCTATTGCTCTAGACTGCTAGTTGGAAAAGCATAAATGGAGTTCAACAGCAGATAAGGATTATAAATGCAGATGATTTCATGTTCATATGCATATTAAAATGATTTGGCATGGTTATGAAGGGCAGAAACATCAGAACTGCATTCTCCCAGCTTCTTTTTGCCACTATTAATATTGTTCTAACTATATATCATCATGGGAAAAATGATATAATTTATACTCTGTTCTACTTATATATACTATCAGATGATACCTATAAATTCTTTGTGAGGATAGAAACCTCTTAACACTTGATGAAAAATAAACCTCTTACCTCTTTCTACTAGTGTGGTTGGCTTGGTTTTAAAAAATGATTTCAAATTTTGATCCCTGCTTTAATGTAGTCTCATTTTGACTATATTGCAAGGTGGCAAAATTTTTACTCAGGTTTGTTGTCATCTAAATACTTTTAATCAGAAACTCCTTGAAGATATTTTATTGATTGATTAATATGGTAAGTGTTTATTTTGTGATTTTTGGAACTAATTTCACAAAAATTAGTTTAAGTATGGGTAGGCGACAAATAATCATTAAATCAGTAGCATGTAGATTTTAATATTATCTGCATATAGACAATCACTCTTAAAACATAAAAATATATATGGCATTTTCCTTAAAAAGAATGAGAGGGAAAAACTATTTAAATTTTTACCACGACCTTGGAAAGCTATGATCAGTTTCAGGGAAGCTACCTAATGAACAGTTAGAGAAAAAATAAAGTCAGATAGGCACGGTGGTTCACGCCTCTAATACCAGTACTTTGGGAAGTCAAGGAAGGAGGATCACTTGAGGCCAGGAGTTCACGACCAGCCTGAGCAACATAGGAACACCCATCTCTACAAAAAATTTTAAAAATTAGCCTGGCATGGTGGCACGCAGCTGTGGTCCTAGCTACTCAGGAGGCTGAAGGGGAGGATTGCTTGGGCCGGGAGAGGTCGGAGGATGTAGTGAGCCGTGATTGTACCACTGCTCCCCAGCCTGGGCAACAGAACAATTCCATGTCTCAAAGAATAAAATAAAATAAAGTCTAGCACAAACTTCATTTGTCAGTAGCAAAAAAGGAGGACCAGTACCTAAGAAAGAATATAAACATATTTCTTGGCTTTCAAATGATTATACTAGTTGCCAAAAGATGGTTCCAGTGTCTGTTGCCAATTGTAAAAACTGTTCCCAGTCATACAAATCTAGAAATTCCCTGTCAAGTCTTATGTGTTTTCTTTCATCAATCTAATCATGTTATATTCATGAAAATTAACTTAAACACACAGTCACTTTTTCTTAAATACTTTCATAGTATATTCTAACATATTATAAAATATCTTATATATTAAGAAATATAATCACTTGTTGGGACATGTCAACTTTCCTCTGTATACATTTACTATAACATCACATTCATAATTTGTCAACTAATAATAAAAAATAAATAAATAAATTACTTAAAATTTTTTTTCTCTTTAGAATTACTAAAAAACAACTGTTTTCTACTGTTTTTGGTTCTGTAAGTGCAGAATTATGTATCATAGTATGAATTATAAATAAAATTATCAAGTTATAAAAATAATCTTCCCAATTATCAAAATTTCCAATGGAATGTTAATTCTTCTAGATAGTAAAATCATAGAAAAATAACCCACTGAGAATGAAAGCTAAAAAGAAAGAGTAATTAATCAACCAAATAATGTTGAGCTCTATTATGAATCAGGAACTTAGCATTCTGAATGATACAAAGTAAATATATAAGATGCAGCTTCTGCAATAAGTAGCTTTATGATATCATTAGATACTAAAATCTAAAAGAAGAACTATGTGTCCTGGTGATATTTCATTGAATATTCCATTCATATTAAGACTACTAAAAATTGAAATGAAGAAAATATCACCCTGGGATAGATTAGCAGGGAAGTATTCATGGGATTTAAACAAGACCTTAAAGAATAAGTAGAAAATTCACAGTTATACAAATTAAGCATCACATTGTAATCTGAATCTTCCTGTGGAATTCCATTGTACAATTCGTCCTTTGGGGGTACAAATTTGAGTGGAGCTCTAGGAACACTATAAACTACAGGTTGGGGGATCACTTTTGTCTGGACATGCTCTTAGTGAGTCAGATCTTTCAGAGGATCTTGCCCTGCTCAGATTCATCTAACTTCAGGCATAGGATCTGATCAGAAATCACTGACTGATACTGCCTGTTTCTTGCCCCATTCCCAGTTCTTCTCACAGAACAAGAGTGTCACCATAACTACCAAAGAGTAAAATTCTCTTCTCTCTGGAGAAGATTCTATCATAAATCTCAGGAGATTCATCTTTGGCACCTTTCCGCTTATTCATACTATTTGAATAAAATGTGTCACCAAGTAACAGCATAAGCCTTGCTATAGCAGGGACCAAAAAGAAATATTCAGAGAAGGAAATAAAAAGCACACTCACCTGACAGCATCAGGAACATTTTATCTTAACTCCCTTAATGTTCCTGGGTAAAGCTTTCTGTAATTAGTTTTTAAATGATCCTACAAGTTATTTTGGCAGCTTTCGAGAGGCACTGACTCCTCAGATGAATACTGGTGTCCCTAAAGACATAAACAGATTAGCCAGGTGTGGTGGCGCATGCCTGTGGTCCCAGCTATTCGGGAGGCTGAGGTGGGAAGATTACTTGAGCCCAAGAGGTTGAGGCTGCTTTGAGCCAAGATTGTGCCACTGCACTGGATCCAGCCTGGGAAATAGAGTCAGGCCCTGTCTCAAAAAAAAAAAAAAAAAAAAAAAAAAAAAAAGACATATATTGAGTTACTGTATTCTTTCCTCTAGACCAAAGTGGGAAATTATCCACATATCTTTTAAGATAAAAATAATACAAGCATAAATAATAATATTAATGGTCCATTCTCTTAGATTGATAGATCTGTTATCTTCAATAACGGGAGAAAGAACTTCAATCTATTTAGAAGTCTTAATAAAGGCCTATTTTTAAAAGTGAGTGTTGAAGGCATAAAAACCAAAGAGTAAATTTTAGTTCATTTAAAATGGTCCTTAATCCATCAGATTCAAACTGCTTTCAAAATGCTCATGCTCTCAAGTTTCAACTACTTATTTTTCAAATTGTACAATGATGTATGAAAATTTTCATAAAGTTTTCAGGTAGCAGGATTTTCATAGAATGTAACCATTACAGATTTAATCTTTGGGCTGTATCTATTTGTAAATGACCCTGAAGGTTATCATGACAGGTAGTAATATGTCATTTTGCTAAAGCACAAATGTGAATTTTATGGAACTATAAAGCTGTTGCTTGCAGTTAATTAAATTAGTAAGTTTAGTCAGCTGATCATGTGGTATGTGCAGCTGAATGTAGCTTTGCTGTTGTTATTTATCATCTCATTTTATACTCATAGGCAATAATATGGCCATTTACCAACAAAGTAATTTTTTCCTAGAGTAATATTCACATACTGGGGAGTCGGGAAAGCCTTAGGACATGTCCCTTATGAATATTAAGATATATAACATATTAAATAATGTTATTTAGTCTTATTTTTCAACCAATCCACAATCAACATGTTTGAACTTCTAATACTGTACTACAATCTACACAACCAGAATTCAGTCAATGAATGTTTCTAAAAACATCATATGTGCTGTGAACCTAAACCTGCTCTAAAAAATAGTCTATTAAAAATGACATTATATGGATCATTGGCAAGGTGTTATATAAGTCTAATTTCAGAATATTGTTTAACATTACAGTGCTATTAATACTGAATTTTATTCAAATATCCATAAACTAGCCTAGCAAATCTTAAGCAGAATTTGAATTACTTCCAGCAGTGGTACTGTGATCAGTATACCTAATCCGATTTCCATGAGCAACAATAATGAAAGGTCTCTAAGGAAGTTATTTTAAATAAAACTAAAACTGTGAATTTAATTTAGCTTTGCATTGGAAGAAACTGGCTCAATATCATCTTAGATGCAAATTAGCACTATTAACTTATTATCCAGAATTTCTTAGATGCCCAATATCTTGAATTTGTGAACCATAGATCTCTACTTTTTATTCTTTCCCAATTTATAAATAAGGAAATCAGGGCATGAAGGGAACTTAAGTAATTTGCCCAAGACCACATCTAATAAGAAGCAGAGTTGGTTTTTGAATCCACATCTCTTAATTCAAACCTCGGCAATTTTCACAGTAAAAAAAGCCGGGGTGGGGGGGGAAGCATATTTGCAGAAAAGAAAACTCTTTCTATTATCGCACTGCCAGAATATTCTTTATCATAAACCTAACACCCACATGCTGTATTTAAATGCAGTTGTCCTCTACACCAGTTTCCTAGGGCTGCTGTAACAAATACCACAGTCTTGGAAGCTTAAAACAACAAAAATGTATTCTCCCACAGTTCTGGGGGCTGGAAATCTAAAATCAAAGTATCATCAGGAGATTTCTTTAGGGGGTTCTGAGAGAGAATCTGTTCCATGCCACTTCTAGCTTCTTGTTGTTGCTGGAAATCTCTGGTGTTCTCTGGCTTGTGCATAATTCCAATCTTTGCCCCTGTAGTCACGCAGCATTCTCCCTGCCTGTGTCTTTCTGTGTCTGTGTTTTTTCTCTTATAAGGATATCAGGAATTTTGTATGAGTTTGAGACTAGCCTGGGCAACATAACGAGACCCCCACCTCAAAAAAGAAAAAAAAATTATAAGAAAAAAATCCAATTGGTCTAGCGAGGTTTTAGTGTCCAGAACAAACAGCAGTCAGGAACCTGTTTCTTTAGACCCTTTTGGAGGCAAGGGAACCATTGACTTGTGGGCTAGGCATACTCCTCCAAAAATATCTACTACAGACTCCAAATATGAAAACAAAAAACTAGATAGATAGATGGATAGATAGATAGATGATAAACACATATATGTTCATATGCATGCATGTGCATATGAAAAGTTATTAATCAAGTTAATTAAATATTAACATTTTTCTAAAACAATTTAGCCAGCATGCATATATTTGAAACAAATTATTATTTTTGTTATTAACAGACCATGTTCTACTTTAGCTGGGTTAAATACACATCGTCATTTTAATCCTGCAAATACTTTCTTACAGACAATATTCCAAGTGCTGTTTGACAATACTAAAATCAGTAAAACTGTTACTACTTTCTAGGAATTTGCAAACAAATATGTAGGGAGAATAACAAGTGCAAAAGCAACTCTTCCAAATTCCTTTTTTCTAAACTTTGGTGGTTAAGTTTTACTCTTCTTGTCTCTTCTCTTTATACTCCTCCTTTGTCAATCAAACCTATTCTCTGGCTACAGCCATTACCTGTACATGAATAACCACCAATTCTATATTTCTAGCACAGACTTCCCACCCAAGTTCCATCCCTGCAATTTCTTGATGTCTGCTGGACCTCTCCACCTATATGTGCCAATAGCCTTTCAAATGCAAGAAACATGTCCAGCAGTTAAGTCAATCCTCTTGCTCTCCTCTTCTCCAAACTTGCATTTCTGTTTTTACTAAAATCAATACCATTGTCCCAATGATCCAGTTCCAAATCTTATGATTGCATTTGACTTTACCTTCTCCAATATACATAATCAAGTATCAAATTTTGTTGATTCTACTCTAACAATATCAAATTCATACACTTTCCATTTCCACTGCCACTTTTCTGGTTCAAGTGTTTATTTCTTCTAATGTGATTGTAAAAACTTTTCTTCCAATTCTCTTTACCTCTAGTTATGACTCTTCTAGTCCCTCCGTGATTTAAACATTAAAAATTAGCAGTGAAATTTTGTTTTCAAATAAAATCATATATGTGTAATCCAAGCACACTGGGAGGTGAAAGCAGGAGGATTGCTTGAGGCCAGGAGTTCAAGAATAACCTGGTCAACCTGGCCAGATTCCATCTCTACAAAAAATTTAAAAAATTAGTTAGGCATAGGGGTGCATGCCTGTAGTGCTAGCTACTTGGGAGGCTGAAGCAGGAGGATCACTTGAGGCCAGAAGTTTGAGGCTGCAGTGAGCTATGATTGTACCATTGCACTCCAGCCATCTGGATGATGTTTTACTGATTTCGTTTTAATTTTCTTTCATTAAAATCAAAAATACAACAAACCAGTCTGAAATGACACAGTAAACTACATCTCTATCACCAAATATGAGTAGATAGCCTCAGAACTATTACTCCATAGGATTTTCCAATAGAATTTCTTCCTTCTTTGTTATATTTCAAGCAACTTGAATAAAAATGAATTCCTTGATGCCTCTGAGTTTTGAGGCAAAATGTATAAATTTTAAAAATGCTTTAGTAAGTATATAATTTTTAATTTTAGTGCAAAATTTTCCATGGTATTTTAGACTATGAACTATTAGTGGAATACCCAATACTCTTTGACTTTTTGTTTTTATATACTCTGGTTTCCTAATCAAGAAAAACAAAGTGAGCCAAATATTTTTGGTTTTCTCTTCTAGTAGTGTATGTAATGGTAATTCATCTTCTTCCTAAATTATAATCTATTACTGCATATTCTTGTCATCCCAAGCAAGAACCTGAAACTCGGAAAGATAGAAACTAGTAGCTCATTTTTTTTCAGCATCGGAGAGTAGCAGTTGCTGAATAACTAGTATTACATTACTGGGTTGCCCCTACCTAGTTTTGTCACATTATACCACTTTACTTTTAGAAAGCATTACAATATGGCCTTTCTCTTCTTCTTCTTTTTTTTTTAATCAAGTTCATAATGTTCAGTAATATGGCCTTCCTAAGGAGTTGATCTCACCTATGAAATGGGGGTAATGCTCTCTGTTTGTGAATCAAATAACATAAGAATAGTAAAATCATTTAAAAGCTATAAAACAGAAGATACTTTAATATAGTTCTACACTTGTAATTTATGCCTAATGTCCAGAAAAATAAACAAACAAGAATAATTGAGTAAAAGTCCTTGAAAAATCAGTTAATAAATGCTTTTAAATACTTTGTGGATTATTTGCATGATAATAATTTAATCAAGGTGGAAGACACTCATGCTTAAAAGTTATAAAGTTTCTTCATATCAAAGAACCTTAAATTCAATCAAAATGATTCGAGAGTTTTTTCTCATATCAACGTAGCATTCATTTTGCCTTTTGAAATGAAAAGCAGACTTTGGCTTTTATTTAATAATTAATAGATGTATTGTCATTATATAGTATCTTATGTTTAAATAGAGCTTCCTAGTTAAGTATTTTCATATATACTATCTCAGTTAATCTTCAAAACAATTCTGTAAACTGTCTGCTATGTGGTAGGAAAAGATTCTTCTGCTGGGAAATAATTTTTTGGCTGAATTTGAAGGATTAATAAGACCCTTAAAGGCAAGACAAGGGAAGGATGAGTTTCCAGGAAAAGGGAAAGAGTATATGGATAAGTGCGGAGAAGTGAAACATTATTACCTATTTGGTATACTGCAGGTAACACAGAACGGTTGAGCATAGAGCACTAAAAAGACATGGCAAGAGATGGGGCTCTCAAGAGCCAGAAAATGATCTTGCATGCTGTGCTAAGGAATTTTAATTTATGTTGTTTAAAGTGAGAAACCAGTTAATGATTTTATTCAAGGAAGTGACGCGATTTTACTTGCAACAGTTAGGAGAATGAGAAAGAACACGTGTTCCAAGAGTGAGATGATGAGAGGCTGAACTAATACAGTGGCAGTGAGGAATGAATTTGCAAGACATTCAGAAAATGGAATTCACGGGATTCAGTTAACGACGTGATGAGGAATTAGAGAAATGGAGAAGCTGAAGATAACATCCAAGCTTCTAATTTAGAGGACTGGGTTGATAGTGGGCATCGTCAAAGTGCTAGGCAGCACAGGGGGAAGAACAGATCCAAGGAGGCAGAGGGGCAGGGGAGAAAATCATTTGGAGATGTTGAGTTTGAGCCATCTGTAACAAATTAACATGAAGATGCTCTATAGGTAGTTTTAAAAGGAGGAAGTCGAGAGTAAGGTGAATGTTTGGATTTAAGAACACCAGTGATCATTCTTTCTCTTCTTGAACACCCCCTTAGGAATGATAAGATGAACTCTAAAGGATATATGTGGTAAGAACACCAAAAAAAAAAAAAAAAAAAAAAAAGAGGGATCCCACTGTTTCTTTCCTCCTTCAGGCAGGATAAAATTTTTAAACTGTTTGGTTAAAAAAAAAAAAGTGGGTTTTGTTTTAGTTGGTTGTCTCTGAGGGGGCATAGAAATCACTGTTCGTATTTTCTCTTAACTTCTATGCTAAGAATCTCTGTTGAGGTTGAGAGTTTAATTAAAAACTCTAGATTAAAGAAAACACAGATTAAAGGGAGAAACAAGTCAGTAAGATCTGCTTTAGGCAAGAAGGGTTTTTGAAGACCCTTCTGGACTCAATGATTTCCAACTACCGAGGTCCCCCAAAATGGATCCGTGATATTATCTGCAATGGCGATTCACACAACTGAAAAAGAGTACAGCCTAGCAATAAAGACACCTACAAAGTCATGAATGAAAAGAAACAGGGCCATGCACAGTGCAATTCTGTTATCATCATTTATGGAGTGTTGCCACTAACGATAATGGTAAAAATTTCCAGCTTCAGAGCACTGCTATGAATCTATATGTCAGGCCAAATAGTAGAAGAGAAAATGGAATAAAGTATTCTCTATTCTTGAGGCTGCACACTACCTGTATTTGCTATGACTATTTCTGAGGCCCCAAGAAACTTCCAGGAAACTCAAATCTTTCACGGTGATTCATCTGGCAGGGCCTTATGAAACTTTTATTGTGGATTGTTCAAATTTTGAGGAAATTAGTGTCTACAGACAGAGTGATCTTTCAGACTGAATTTAGATCCAGTCATGGATTACAGAGTGAAATCAGAGGAGGACTGGGAGACATGATCAATCAAGTTCATTAAAACTAGAATTTTTATTCCCTTCTCTGCAGAAGGAGGCCTAAAACTCACCCATTAACTGCATGGGAATCACTGCTTCATGGTCTTGCATTTTTTTCAGTATTTTAGAAAAACATGTAGAAGGGGCACAGACATATACAATGAGACAGTCTATGAGTCAGAAAAACTGTTGTAGGGCTGTATTCTAAGAGATACTTCCTATTTGACTATAGGGAAGTTATTTTATTTTGTTGGTCTATCTGCATCTTTTAAAAAAAGATTTAAAAAGTCAGAATAGGACTGGAAAAGATGGCTCATGCCTATAATCTCAGCACTTTGGGAGGCCAAAGCAGGAGGATTGCTTAAGACCAGGAGTTTCAGACCAGCCTGGGCAACATGGCAAGACACCTGTTTCTACAAAAATATAATAAAATTAGCCAAGCGTGGTGGTGTGTGTCTGTAGTACCAGCCACTTGGGAAGCTGAGGCGGGAGGATCACTTGAGCCCAGGAGTTTGAGGCCACAATAAGCTATGATCCTGCCACTGCACTCCAGCCTGGGCAACAGAGCGAGACCCCTGTCTCTCTCAGAAAAACAAAAAAAAATCTTACGTAATATAATTATCTTACGTAACACACCTTTTCTGTAATGATTAATACCCTTTGCTTTTGGAATAAAGGTATGCTATCCATAGAAGTAAATTACTATCATTATTCTTTAAGAATAAACGAGTATAAATCCATTCTTCAATTCCGGTCTCTTTTCATTTTCTAATAATGACTTTCAAGTTTTCTTCCAATTTTTAAAAAATATCCCCATGCCTTAAGTTCCACCCTTCTTGGCTCATATATTTTACACACAAATTTTCTAATAAATAATATTACCAGGAGTTCCCAGGACTATGAGCTTAGACCTGTTACACTACTGGAATTTCACACTTTTACTGTCATTCTCCGTTTTCAATTCGTCCACGTCACAAAGCGAGTGAGAATATTACATGGAGTATTTTACACCTGAAAATCTACTGTTGGTATTGTTTGTTTGTTTGAATCTGGGAAGAAATAAGGTGGAAGTAAGGCTAGAAATTTCTATAAAGAACATAATTTGCAACTGAAGGAAGAAAAATAGCTCTTCAGTTGTTTCTGGTTAATTGAGGATTCTACCAGATACACAGGAAGGAAGAAACAAGCCCCTACCTACAGCACCTTCCTCCTCCTCCTCTATACCCCCCCACCCCCCAAAAAAAATCCAGGGTGTGAAAGTTGTAGAGTTGGGGACGTGGCTTTAGGTAACGGGACAACTGGTAAAGCTGATGGCATTCTTCACTCAACATGGGACAGTGTTCCAGTCCCTCTACCACAGGAGCGCCCGGCAGCGTAATCTCCGCTTTTTTGTGATCACCAGTGCCATCCGCAAATGCCTGAAGGAGGAACAGCGGGCTCCCTCACTTCTGAGGGACCCTGCCACATTCCTCCCTTCAAGTACATTCTCCCATCCTAAAGAGGGGATTTGCCTTCTGTAATTTAAACGATAATATTCCTTAGGAGTCTTAGAATTGGCTTTCTTACTGTGACTTCGTATATACAACTCGACTAAAAGGCATGCCAAAAAAATTAAACAGCAACAAAATATTAGAAGCTGAAAAAGATAAAGCTACATAATAGCTGGATATTAAACATTACAATATCGCATTTAGGACGCAAACAGCGCTGCAGTGCAAATGGAACTTTAAAAAATCTGCCCGCCCACGTAGACAAAGCTACTTTACAAAAGCGCACGCGTCGATATCAATCGTACCCTACAACAGAGCATGGTTTAAAGTATCAGTGTACATTTTTTCCTAAACACAAGTTGCAAGTAAGTTATCTAAAATCGAACACCGCCACGAAAGAGACCTCCAGGGTGCAATAAATAGGTATATCTCGTTGAAGTGGAGAAATGGCATCATGACCCTTTGGGTTGATGCAGATTACAGTGCGGAGGCTGTTCTCGAGAGAGAAACTAGAACTCAGCGTAAAATGCTGTAGTAGGGGAAATCGACCAAAGACGAGATTTTGAAAGCCTTTTGAAAGTCGTTTTTCTAGCTAAAAAGAAAAAGTGACTTATTCAGGACTGACTCCCCCTGCCAGTCCCAGGAAACAGGAGCAGCCCGGCGCGCCCGGGAGCCCCGCAGCGCAGTGCGCACTGCGGCTCCAGAGCGAAGGGCTGGCGCCCGCCAGATTCTAAACGTGCTCGGCTGCCGCAGCCCGCCGGGGCCGCGCGCCGTGGTCCGCGCGACTCCGCGCTCCGGGTTTCCGCGGTCACCAGCACTGGCGGAAGAGCCCTGCCGAGAGGGGACAGCCGCGGGCGGTGTCCCGGGAGTCCCGAGAGCGCGCTCCCCCTTTGCGCAACCTTCCCGAGGCGTCCTGCCCGGGAAGCCAGTTCCTGGGTTCTGGGCTGGCTAGGTTGGCAGCGAATGAGGCTTAGGCATCACTGCCTGAGGCCCTCACTTAGCATGTCGACAGCCACAGACTTGTCTGGCGGAGTTTCTCCTGGTGCCCACTTAAGTAGTCTCAAGTTTGTTCAAAGCTGGACTCCTCGACTTGGAACCAGGAGCAGCTGGAGATTTGTCAATTTAGAGCTCATTTGCCACGGGAGACGCTCTTGGTGTCCCCAGCACCGAAGGGTAGGTCAACTCTACAGTTTTCCTGAACATGATAAGGTGTGTGAAGACGCTGTGCAAATTGTACAGCGCTCTGCTTAAGGAGAACCTCGATCTTCATCTCGCCCCCAGAACTTCCCTCCCTTGAAAATAAAACTCCCACCTGAATGTAAAGCCCAGGAGGGGGTTTTGTTAACCGCACTTATTCCCAAAGCATAAAGGAATGTCTAATAGTTTTGCAAATGCTTCCATGAATAATTGTTGAATGAGTTCATGTACAACATACACACTTGAGGAAAACTGGTCTGGTTGGGAACATCTGGGAATTCTCCTTGCTTTTCTGGTAGGGAAGCGACCGACCAAACATTTATTGGGCACTACTCCTTGCCAAGCCTTCTAGGCTTTGGCAGGCCAATGGGGAGCCGGGGGGAGGGCTGGCAAACCTGTTAGTTGTTCAAGGACACAAAGGGGGCTTTATAAGATGGCCTAATCAGAGCCCTTAAACGTGGGTTCGCAAAATGGTTCATTCCCGCCCTTTCACCCACCCCCTCCCACCCCAGACGCAAAGCATATGTTAAAAACACTTAAGTGCATACAGAAGGCGCTTGGCTCAGGGTACACAGGGCAAGAAGCCTCGGATCCCAGCTCCCTTTAACACACATTTTTTCAACGCCGTTCTGGACCGAGACTGTCCGGGGCACTGGGTGCTGCAGGACCCGGCTCCCAGTACTCCTAGCAGAAGACCCTCTGATGAAATGGCCCATGACAAAATGACCACCATAACCGTTCCTTCAGTAAGCCAGGTAGACGTGCTCACAGCTTGCTGGGAAGTCTTCTTTCGGAGATTTCTGCAGTTTTCTCCTTCACCTTACAGCCTAACAAAGGGTGGGCCGGGGGTCGGCTAGGACAGAAAGCAGCGGGAAAAGCGGCTCCACGTGTTCCATCTCTGGCCTCGGCCTTCAGCCCCCAGGTTCGGTAACCACTGGGCGTGGCGAGTCCGGGTAACCCGCAGTCCCTCGCGCCCGTCCAGGTGCGGGTTGCTCCGGTAGCCGGACTCCCTTTTCCTATATACTTTCCTTTTGAGCTTTTGCTAAAATCTGGAGACGTGGAATCCACCCGCGGAAACTCCGAGCCCCTCCGACTGAGCATGCGCCATCGCCAGGCGGCTTTTGGTCACAGGCTCCCGAGTTCTCCTAGCTGGGGCTGCGGAGCTGGGGGGAGGGAAGAGAGGAAAGGGGAGGGGGTGCCTGGAGAGGCGGAGGCTCGCGCGCCTGCGCATCCAGCTCCAGGGACCCTAGGTTTTCTATGGGATTCCCAATCTGCAGCAGAGATTTACCCGAGCGTGTTGCGGCAGCGGCTGGGCTTGCAAGGCGCGATCCAAGAGGGATTTAAGCAGCCCAGAGCTCCAGAGAAAAAGAGAGCGAGAGAGAACCACACACAGAGACGGCTTAAGCGTTTACCCGAATTAAATATATATTTTTAAAAAGAACTGTTGAGTTTTATCATTTTCGTTAAGTGACCGTGCGCAGCGCTGTAACTGTAAGTGGAAAATACAATCTTCGTTGCATTTCTGCATGTGTAGTGCAACCAACTGTCAGAGAAATGCTTTGGCTATTGTCACATACTTTGCTTTGCATAGATGCGTCTAAATGCATGGGGACAATTTCCTTGCTTAATGCTGGCGATCTGAATGTGCTCTTAGTCCATGGGGGATCTTTTGGAATATTGGGGGTGGGGGAAGGGGGAGTGTTTATATGCGGCGTGTTTGGGGGATTGTCTTAGACTAGATTTAAGACAGGTGAAACTGAGATGCTTTCTTAGTTTGTCTTAGACAGATTTAAGTAGCTAATTGACCGATTGTGAAGTTTTCCGGTTGCTGATAAAACTATTGAGCGGGTACAGTCGAGTAGCAACCTGTCATCCGTGGGATTGGTGCACCATTTTTCTCACTGTGGAAGGGCAGCAAAGGTGTTTGCTAAGTAAAACTGAGTGGATGAGATTGGTATGGAAATCATGGTTGATCTCTGAGCGGGATGTTAGTGTTTAAGATCCACGGAGTCAGGCGCAAAATGAGCACATTTCTCTCAGTATTCAGAAATGAGTAGATAATTTTTTTCGTCTTTGATTTTTGTCACAATGGTGAATGGGCAGAAAAGGGAAAGATGCTCTACTGCACTGTCGATTTTGAACGGAGTCACAGGCTCGGTCGCTGAATGGGGACTGTCAGACCCAAACTAGTTACCTGCCTTTGCATTCCGTGTTCGCCATCCGGAATCTGGGGTTAAAAAATGTAAATCAAGGTGTGTTACATTTGGTAGTATTTCTTTAAAGGATAAAAGGTCGTTTTGTGTTTTGAGTTAAAATGGGTTGTTCCTTGCCCAGAAACTGGAAGAAGGGTCTTTGCAAGGTCAAACCCCGGGTGGAAATCAGAATGATGAATACCCTCAGGGGTACAAGAATGTGTACGTGGAAGGAGCGAGGAGAGGCTGATGCTCCCTGCATGGTGGAAATGATGAGTGCTCCGCATTGCCTGATCAGTGCCCTGTGAGATGCCAGAGTGGGAATCCATTTTTCTAGAGTTGCCCTCCTGTCCGTATTTTGGAAACTAAAATAAAATAGAATTGTTGGTGGTTGTGGAGAACACTAAGTACATACTATTTGTGTATCACTTTCCAGTTGAAGGCAAGAAAAGCTGGGGAGTTTTATTTCTACATATTAATATTTATTTTAATTTCTAAAGGAATTTCAGGTTGAGACAAATTTAAAATGAAACTCTTGTGAAAACACATTTTACCCCCACTATCATTTAAACTGCCTACGTGTGTTTGTGTGTGTGTGGTGGGGGGGAGTAGGGGGTGATCCTACATCATTGAACAACTTACTTTTGAATGCACTCTCATTAAGCCTTGGGTATTTAATAACCCCAGAAAATGCTGCACTGAAGCAGGTTGGCAGAATGGGCATGAGGCAGAAAGATGAGAAAAAAGCATGGCTAGTGCGTGCTGGATTTCCACGAAATAAGCAAATCCAATTTTGGGGATGAAATGAAATAAATTTTCCCTCAAATCGGGTGTGGGGGCCATCAAATAGGGCTCTTTGGCCCTTTGATCAGTCCAACCATTTGGAACCCCTCAAAGGAATTTATAATTTATTTAAATGGATGAAATTTGTAATTGAAAATTCGAGAAGAACCTCTCATTGGAAATCCACAGTATAAATCATACTGCCTTGTCTATTCCTTCTTTCCTTACTCCAGGGCAGAAGGACTAATCATTTGTCATAATTGAGCCATACTCCCTGTCATCATTGAGCATTGGCATCAGTTCGATGAATGGTGCAGGTGTTGACACTGCATTGATAAAGAGGGGTGGTAGAGGAAAAAGGGGGGAATTAGGTATCAAAACTGATAAATGCTTGGTCTTGGAGTCCCTGGCTCATAGGTTGACAGAGAGGATCAAGTTAGGCAGAGACCCTGTAAGGTATCTAGTCCAAACCCCTTGCTTTGTAGATGAGGAAACTGAGGCCCAGAACCATGGATGTAGAGAAAAGTCAATTAACTTCTAGTCTATGGAATAAACAATTAAAAAGTAATGTTGAGTGGAAATGTTTCCTTCTCTCTTTCATTTTCAGCAGTCTCAGTGACATTGCTGCAGACTTCAAATAAATAACTGTCTGCTCTCCAGCACATCTTTTGAAATTGTCTCTAGGGGTCCCTTTTATACCACCTCATTTCTCTTCCTTGCCTCTCTTTGTCTTGTAAGGTCTCTTTCTCTCTCTTTTTTATTGCCCCTCACCTCTAATATCCCCACCTCTTTGGATGTTTAGTCTGGCTTTTCTGGCCTCCTCTGCATCTCAGACAATTTCTTTGGAATCCTTGGCGTTTGCCGGGAGCACTAGCGTATCAGAATCTGCAGTTCCTGTTTGAGAACTGCCCAGGGCCCATTTCCATCTTTCCCTGCTGTGTTCCCCAAAATCCTTCAGGGAATCCAGCCTTCAAAGACACTGCAGTTACATTCCCACTTTTCTCCCCATCTGTCCTCCTCCAAAACCACTGCAGCTGCAGAGATTAGGACTTCGTGGAGTGAGGAAGCTGCAGGGTTTCCAGAGTGGACTTTGCCAGCTCACCTCTGGCTCCTAGGAGGCAGAACCCAAATTAGAGATGCCTGTCTCCAGCCTTCCTGGAAATCCTCCAGATAAAGCCACCTGCGGAGAAGGGAAAGGGAAGGGACAGAAAGACCGAAGAAGGCTTGACTGGTTTAACCTGAAGTTGTGCTATAGAGGAGAGTAGTGCAGCTTTTTCATCCTTTAAAGCTTTTAAAGCATTTGCATAGCTTTTCCTCAGGCAGATCTTTTGTTTTATTCTTTCGCAGTTTCTGCTCTCATCTTGCTGGATGAGGGCTGCAAAGCAGACAAGGTGACCCGCCTAACTGGCCTTCCTACCTTCCTCCTGTTTTTTCTCCTTTTTTTCCTCTTTTGCTTTCTCCATTTCTTCCTCATTTTCTCCCTTTCTTCCATAAAAATTCTCTGAGTGCCTATACAATAACATTCTATGCCTCCTAAATATAGTCTGGGCCTTCCTGTTTCTTCTCCAAAAATGTAATCTCCCAGGCACTCAGAAAGATACTCACAACTACCACAAATGGGGAAATGCTAAGGATTCTTACATGAAAAAAGCTGAGGCATTAGGAAAGGAGGAGCTTGATGATTGGAATGCAAGGCCAGAGGAAGTCCCACTTGGGATCTCTTTCTCATTTCAAAGAGTAGGTAACTACTCTTGGAAGTTGTTGAAGCTTTTAAGAAGCAAAGTGGTGAGTTTCTCAACACCTTTACCAATTAACAATTTAATTTAACCCCTCCTCTGTTGGTAAATCTTTACAGAATTGGGATGAGCTCTGTCTTGGATGGAGTCTGTTTCTAACAAATGCTCTCGGGTTAGTTAGATGTTACCTGATCTTGCTGATATACCCATTCATATACCCTTGCAGAATACCCATTCCAGGGTATTCTGAACACCAGATAGATAGCCTTTGCAGAGATGCGGAGATTTGTAGTTGCTAAGTGCCCCGCTTTGGTTTACTACACTGTGAATCACCTCCCCATTACATGTGAGTCACATGTGATAGGATTACAGCATCAGGAATATTGTCTTGGGCAAGCTATAGATTTTCTATTTGGGTTGCATGTAGTTATGAATTCCAAACATTGTGGAGAGGCTCCCTAGGGAGTTTCACAGAATAACAGTTCAGCATCAGTATCAAACATATGGTTTCCTAATTGATAACAGCAATATATTTTCACTGTTCTCAAGGTCTTTTTCTTTGTTTTGAGTGATTTCTATGCTCCTAAAATTAGTGATTATTTAGGAAAATAGGAAGGCTCTCTCCACAGAAATGATCACATTTAATTAATCTAAACTGACAGTGTCCATCTTCATTATGCATAGTGAATATAAACATTAATTTTCCTAAAGTATCAAATGGTACAGAGATATATTAAAGAATGATTGATAGTTTTACTATCCCAATGGTTAATTCATATGACTAATAGAACATATGAGCTGGACAAGATCCATATAAGTCACCTAATCCATCCCTCCAATCCATTTTTAAAATAGTATCTTCAGGAAATTTTTTTATCTTAAAGACACCCCTACAATATGAATTCGTTGTCTGGAAAAGCAATGATTTTAATGACCTTTTAAAATATTTCCACAATATCTGTACAATGTCTTTTATAGTGGAAACTCAATATTTGTCAATTAAATATTTGTTCTAATAAGAATCAGTTGCATGTACCTTGTTAATTATATCAAAAATTAAATTTCTACTGAAACCATGTGCACAATTAACATTTCTTTAAGTATCTTTGTTAGTAACGAAAAAAACTAGATTAAAAATTATTTTATACTTGAATGACAGAGAGAGACCCTATCTCAAAAAAATTATTTTATGATTTATTTTTTGTAAAGATATTAAAGCATTATATTAATACCTCTAAGAGTGCTTTAAAATCTATTTACATGTTTATCCTTTTTGTCTCTTAATAAGTAAAAAGATAAAGTATTTTTACCTATTTACAAGAATAAGAATATTGATAAGTAAAAGAGGGAATATAAATCTAGACTGTGGTAGCTATGTGCTCCACTTAGATCATGCTCTCTTGAGCTATGGAATTATTTTAACATGTTCACCCTGTGAGGGGACCACATCATTGCATTTCTCATTTACAGTTTGTTTCTAAAGGTAACTTATGCACTCTTAAGTGAATCAAAATAGTTTGCGTTGCTCCCAGCTTAAATCATTGAGAACTTTTACTAATGGAAGGGTCTTGGGGATGCTTTAGAAACTATTTAATGAATGAAACAGAAATGGAATAGTAAATTACTGAGGAATCTTCAAAGAGGTTTGACACTTTAATCATAAGGTGCCTGTGAATATGTTCAAGAGCTGTTCTATACCCCTATCAGCTAACTTAAAGTATGCAGATTGGGTAATTTTCACAATTCTTACACTTTCTCTGGATTTCTCCACCTCTTTACTTAATTTACTGCAGTCCTAACACAGACGACCTGCTGTGTAACCATCAATTGTTTATTCTTTTTTTTAATGCATGGTAATTCCAAGGACTTACTGGATTATTTCCAGGTGAGCATTCTATTTCCTTTTGTTCTAAATTACAATTAAGACTTGGAGTACTCTCATTCACCAAGTGGTCTTCAAGCTCAATGTACCTAATACAATAATTACTGAACTTTTTGTAGAAAGTAGATCTCTTTTACTTAAAAACGATTTTATTTTTATGAGGCATTGCTTATAAAAGGCAAAGTGTTAACAAATCAGTTAAATTTATCTGCAATTATTATCGATGCATAGAATGAATCCTATTCATTGCTGCCCATATAATACTTTTCTGAAAATAGAAATCTCTCACTTTTTAAGTATACTTTTTCCTCCTTTTTTTGGATTTTGTTTATTATTTCTTAGGCTCTGAAAGACTATGAACTTTTGAGGAGCTTTATGTAAATAGTTTTTTGTTTTTTTTGGCAAATCATTAACATGTTAAACGTACTTTGAAACCTGGGTGAATTTTTTCTAATGTAAATCAACAGATCCTAATATTTCTGTTATCTTATATTTTAGAATCTTTTTGCAGTTCAAGAGTTCTTGAAATAGTAAACGCTGGTGTTACAGGAGACTAGTGTTTTATATTTTGCATTGGTTTTAGTAATTTGTGATTGGCGTGTTTATTTCTGATTTCTTGAAGTCCAATTTTAAATTTTGAGTAAAATGTCCCGTTGGAGACCCATCAAGCATTATTAATAAAGTTGAAATGCTTATTAATATAATATTTTGCTTTTAATGTATCAAGTAGTGCTGCACAAGGCTCACTTTCAATTAGCAAGTTCTGTTTGCTGAAATTCTTGGCATTTGATGTTACGAGTTAATGGAAGACTATCAATTTTGTTAATTCCAGAAGTTCAAGAGTTTCTGTAACTTTATATAAAGTGCTTGATGTTTTTTGCTTTCTTGTTCTTATGAAAAATTTTATGAAAAATGAAAGGAAATTGTGAAGTAAACTTAAATCCTATGTATAAAATTGTTATTCTTTTAAATGATTATAAAGGTATTCATTCTTGAGTGAGATGAAAACCACTAAACTATTAGTCTTTCCTCATTTTTAGTTTGTGAATGGGAAACTTCTAACCATGATTTCAGTTGGCTCAGAGAAAATTATGAGAGGAAGTATAAAGTTCTTCAGCTAGGTATATTAATACTTAGACAAAAATTCCCAGGGCCATAGTTTATTAGTTCTGTGACCTTGAATAAATTGTTTAAACTCTCAGCCTCAGTTTCTAATAGTAATTCACAGGATTCTTGAACAGAAAATAGAAGATTATATATGTAAAGAATATAATGGCTTATTATTGAAAATGTACAATAAATAATAGTTATCCTTATCATTAGCATCACTTTAATCAGAAATCAATAGCTCATAAACCACTTTGGTCACTGAGTTGAAGCAATCTCCGTTCATTGCACAACTTCTAAATAAGGAATCAAATAGTGAACAGTTTACGGTGCTTACCCTACCTTATAAAACTTAGATTTATTGAGAAAGTGTGCCAAGCTCTGTGTAGTCACTGCAGAACAAAATTAAGTAAGATACAATCCCAGCCTTCAAGAATTTATGCCTAATGGAGAAGACAGATAAATGCAATTTTAAGTCAAGTGAAATGAAAAGGTGGTATGGATGCACAGAATTATTTCAGAATGAAATAAATCCCTGCACTAAGACTTCAGATTTTCTCTTATTCCTTCTTTAAATGCATCCCCTTTCCATTATGCCTTTACTTTATCATCATCACCCTACTATATAATGCCAGCATATAATTGAGTCCAGAATATGGAAGTGAAAGGAAATTTTTGAGTTTATTTCCTTATTGGATATATTTTATTATCTATGAATTACTGTTCAGTGTAGCTAAATAACACGTTTCCCTTCTCCCCCAACCTGCACTCACAGTTGATCACTGAACTTCAATAAAAAACGTTTCAGGAGCTCCGCTTTTTTGGTTAAATATTACACTGTGATACTTCTATCTTTTAATACTTTCCCAAAACAGGATTTCTATCTGATACTCTCCCCACACCTCCTCTATTTTTCCAACCCATTTCGCGACTAATCATTCAATGTGTGTCTGTGGGAAGAGTCTCCTATGAGCTACTCTTTCATTCTTTTCTCCCAGGCTTTTACAATAAAGAAAAGATACCTTCCAACTGCTCTTTCCTACTGAACCAAAAACAATGTTTCTAGCCCCTCTCCACATTTCCCCCACCCCCACACACATCAAATCCAAAGTGACCTTATTGTTTTTAACTCCTCAAAGAGCATTTTCAATTTCCTTCAGGTTTTCCCCCCTTCTTCCTCTATTTCCTGCCCAATTTCCTAGGAAATTTCAGGCATATTTCTAATCTGTAGATAAAAAAGGACATCTTTTTCTCTTTTTGAAGTCTACAAAACTTGCACCTAAATTCTGAGGTTTCTTTGTATAATAGGACAACTCCTGGATGATTCATAGAATTGAGTAGGGTTATTGTTCTAATTAATCTTTTGAGTTTATTTTCTCACTGGTGAAAATAGGGATAATGTAGTTATCTTATATGAATGTTGAAGTCCTAATATAGTGATGTGTATATAGCACCTGAAAGAGCTTGGAATATAAATAATTCCTTCTCCCCCTGCACACCCCAATCTTCTTTCCTGCCCACATCTTATCTTTTCTGACCACCTTCTCAGTTACATTTCACCATTTCTCCTTGGCTAGTGTTCTAGGTGTCCTGCTGCATTTTTTCCAAGTATATCTTCCTAATTGGCTCATAGTTAAATAATAGGTAACATAACACATATCCCAGGTAGCATGGTGAGCGCAGTCCTAGAAAGCGTGTGCTAACTGAATCAATGCCCTAGCTTAGGCCTGTGTTCCTGCATCTGTTTAGAAAACCTCTTTCATTTGTTTAAGACATGTCTTCTGCTAAACTTTTCAGAGCCTCTAGTGACTAATGTTCAGTTGATGAACAGTCCTCTCCCACTCCAGTGATTCTGTGGTGCTCTTCATAAATAATGTCAGAGGACATCTGACAGTGCTTAATTATCTTCTGATTTTTATCCTCTTTTTTCCATTACCTTTTCCCCCAAGGTGCCCTGAGCACCTGTTAAACACTTCAGGAGACGCCTATGCCTCAACTCTTATGCAGGATCTGGTGATATCACTTGCATATCTTTTGTTTATCACATAAATGGTTCTCAAATAACACCAAATAAATGGCAGAAGAGGGAGGCCATACACACAACACATGTTGCAGAACATGTTCAGATCAGGTTTAGCCTATCAGAACCTTCATTTGCTGAGTGTTTGTAGAAGTGTGCACTAATGCAGATTGACCAAGTGCAGAGAATGGTACTCAAGGTAGGGCTGAGGTAGAGATGCACATACATCCAGATAGATAGATACATACATACACACATACATGATATATACACAGTATGTTCAATGTACTGTAATAGATTGTTTTGTATAGTTTTAAGCAAAATATTTAAGAGTAATAGCTTCATAACAAATCATTACTTACAAGACAGCATTAAAAAGGAAGGCCTATTGAAATTTCTTCATTCTAGATCAAGTGCATAATTGAAAGGGAGGATGGTTTAAATTTGGTGGTAAGAATACCTATCAGCGTTTTGGAAATATATCTTTACAGAAACAAAGAGTTTTTTGAAACACTTCTTTGGGGAAAAATGCTTACTAAATCCCACTCTTCGATATTCCCAGTGCTCATTTTCATGTTAATAATAAGTCTGAGTGGTCCTGTGGTAAAGACCACTGAATCTGTTTAGCTTTGATTAATTGTATATTTCCAAACCTGTTTGTACAGGAAACTTATGTGAAAATATACTTATCAACATTTCATTGTTGTTCTGAAGAACTCAGTTAGAAAAACTGCTTTAGAAAGACAAAAGCTGAACTATGTAATAGAAAGTACACAAACTTAGTAGTCATTAAATGTGTGTTTTAGGCATCACACCTGTGCTTTAGGCATCATAGTGTGTAGCTGTGGAAGACTTACTTCTCTGAGTTTTAGTTTCCTCATGTGAGAATAACTATGATATTACCTACCCTTTGTAGTTACGAGATATTGTGAGCATACTTCACAGACTGCATAATAGCATGTGACAATAAAAAATTTATTGTTCATATCATTCAACTTTAGAATTTTAGATTTTAAAAAGGTGATTTATAATCAAATTATTGATCTTCTGCAAATTATTATATTATGGTTATATCTGCTAAAATATGTCCCCTGTCTTCTCCCCACCCCTACTCTAGGTCCTGGGAAAGAATGATAGATCTATGATAACTAGGTCTTCACAGTTAAATTGAAAAAATGATTTTGAAGTAAAATAATCTGGAAGGAAAAGCCTAAATTATGGAAGGTTTGAGACACATCTGTATCGTTTAAATTTGCCTCTGGATTTCTCATGCTCTGGTTGTAGAACTTGAGCCCACAGCCATTTCTCAGTGGTGTGAACATGTCTTGGCTTCCAAAGAGACCCTTGTGGAAAGAAAAGCAACCACAGTCAAGCTCACGTGTTTGCTCTAGCAAAGAAGCTTTGGAAATAAGATTTTCATCCTACTGGGGTTAAGAGAAGCCCATGAGAGTAACTGGGACTTCCCTTCCAGGAATCAGCATGCATATACAGACCCAAATAATGTGAGTAAGGACAGTAAGACCAACAGGAGAAACTAAAGAGACCCACATATGCATGCAAACACAGGTACTCTGTCTTGGATAAGCTCTTGAACTCATGAACAGAGATGAGTTCTCTTCAAGGACTATGGAAATCACTTTGCAAGAGCTGTTCTGATTATGAAAATCTGAACCTTACTTAGATATCCTAACCCAGTCATCCTAAGGGAATGCAACAAAAAGTTGCTTCTCAGTCCTCTTAGCACATCTGAACACATAATCACTGTATACATGCCAACTCTCGCATAAAACTGGAAATTTCTTGAGGGAAGAAATCATGTCTGATACATGTCTAAGTCCCCTTTGGAGAGCTGTACCACTGAGGCCAGCAGAATAGGTGGAGCAGTAAGTCAACTGTGCATTGACCCATCAATAAATTGTGGAGTTTGGAACTTCCCAGTCAGGAGTTGTTAAAGAGTCCTCACACACCCCAGGATAATGGCAAAGCATTTGGGCATCTGACTCACAGAGTGCCAGATTACACAGGCACCAGTCAAATAAGACCTTGTCCATTTCCTATATAGTCCCCTTCTCTGCCCCCTCCCTAGAAACAGCAGAGCAAGTAATACAAGAGGGAAGCCAGCAGGACAAAAGAACGTATTACCCCCTCTCCCCACTGCTAGATTGAAATCCTAGTTAAGGAAAGACTGAATTGGTATAGTGGAAATTTATATTTAAATTAGACTAAACTTTTTAATATCTAGAAACAACCACTTTTCTGGTACCTACAAGTGACAGAAAAAATATAAATCAGCCCAAGATATCATCTTGGAATGGGGAAGGGAGGCATGATAGAGCATGTTTGCAGCAGTGATGAGAGAATAATGTAGCCAATACTTTGATAAAGTGGCTATACAAGGAATAATAAAAAATGGCATATGATTCATTCTTAAAACAAGAGGCCTTGGCCAGAATTGCTGGTATGGGTATTAGAAGAAATCCATGAGAACTGGAAGAGGACAGGGGAAAGTGATCTAGATCCAAGTCACCAATGGCATAGGAGAAACTGGGAAAGCTGACATTCTTCCAAAGAGGTGCTCAGTAGAAGACCATGTACTTAGAAGGCTTACCTATATCATTCATCTTTGGCTGTTAGCCAAAATTGAATTAATCTGAATATTGAAAGTTATCTCTAGGCTAGGTCTCAAGAGCAAGTAAATGAAAGCAGAAATCATTTATGCCTTCTAATAATAATAGCTAGCAATTTTGTTAAAAAAAAAAAAAAAAAAAAGCCCAGGCGTGGTGGCTCACCCCTGTAATCCCAGCACTTTGGGAGGCCGAGGCGGGTGGATCACGAGGTCAGGAGATCGAGACCATCCTGGCTAACACGGTGAAACCCCGTCTCTCCTAAAAAATACAAAAAAATTAGCAGGGCGTGGTGGCGGGTGCCTGTAGTCCCAGCTACTCGGGAGGCTGAGGCAGGAGAATGGCGTGAACCCGGGAGGCGGAGCTTGCAGTGAGTCGAGATTGCGCCACTGCACTCCAGCCTGGGCGACAGAGCGAGATTCCATCTCAAAAAAAAAAAAACAAAAAAAAACTTAGCACGTACAGTGCTCTGTGTTGGATACTTACACGCGTTACTTCATTACTTACAGCTTTTAGAGGTAAGTGTCTGCAAGGTTAGCTTCATTTTATGACTGAGAAATTGTGTCTCTGAGATGAAAGTAATTTGCCCAAGGTCACATAGATATTAAGTGATAAATGTGTTGTTCAAACCCAAAACCCTCTTGTTCTACCAAACTACAACCAATCTACACACGTCTTTTTATTTTTTAATTTTTTTATTAGGGAAAGCGTACATATTTGGAGAGAATAATATAATAAGCCCCCATGTACCCATCACCCAATGTTAATCAGTATTAAGTCCACTTTGTTTCACTGCCGTCCCCATCCTTCCTCTCTCTAATGGGTTAATTTGAACGAATTAAGACATATCATTTTGTGTGTAATAGTTTACATATATCCACAATAGTATTAGCACAGCAAAAAAAATCACTTAATATCATCAAATATAAAGCCAGTGTTCAAATCTCCTAAGTATTTTTTTTAATCTCCTAAGGATTTTTATAGTTTATTTGAATCAGGGTGCCAATTAAGTCTATACATCCCAGTTGTTGAAAAGATAGCACCCTGTTTATATGAGACATGACTGCATCTCACTGGAGAGAAGTATATTGTGGATTAAAGAGATGTGGCTTTAAACTAAAGATAGGCCTTATCACTCTGAACAAGTTGTCTAAATTTTGGAAAATGAAAATTGTACTCCTGAGATTAATTGTAAGGATAAACATAATGTCTTTGAAAGTGCTTAGAACAGTCTCTCGCATATACAAGATCTTCAGTGAATGTTAAGTCTCCTATAAAAAGAGGGGGAGGGGGAAAGAGAGAAAGAGAGAACAAGAGGGAGGGAGGAAAGAAAAAGGAAAAATGGAATAGTAGGCCAAAAAGCGTGGCCTTCTTATTAAGAGGAAACTTCTTGAAGTGCTTTGGCAACTGATCTTTTGAGAGCACTCCCATTTTGTTCCTGGATGGATATTTGACCACAGTTGTGCCAAAGTAGCTAATGTCTAATGGCTCTGAATCTTCCCCACTGACATGTTTATAGTTCTGCTGTTTCCCATATGAAAAGGCAGAAAATCTGTAACTTTGAAATTATCTCAAATTCAGAAAAATGACAGTATTATAAAATATCTTTAACTTCATACCGATTAAAACTAATAGAAAAATTAAAATATGGCATACATTGTATTAGCAGTGATTGCTGTTATGTTACAGAGGTAACATAGTTTTAAAAAACAAATAAGGGCAATTAATTTGATTCAGATTTGAGTTTGCTTTGTTTTCATATGAACTTGAGCAAGTTACTTCACTCCTCAAAGTCTGGTTCTTAGGGTGTAAAAGGGAAGTTTTGAAAAAAAAATCTAAATATCAGACATCAGCAACATGGGAAAATGGAAAAATAATGGACTATATGTCAGAACCAAATTTGAATTCTAATTCCACTACTTAATGTCTTCTTGGCCTTAGCCAAATAATTTAATCTCTTTGAGCCCCAGTCTTATTTGTTAAATGCAAATTATAACGTATCTCACGAAATTGTTGTGAGGACTAGAAATAATATCCATTAAATGCTTAGCGGAACCCTCTCTTTTATTTGAAACTCATTGGTGGTTATTATTAGTTTGTTTTTAATAAAGAAGTAGTAGTATTTGCTGTCCTCAATTCAAGAGCTCTTAATTTAAATTGAGAAGTTAAATAAATTCATAATAAAGAAGTAGGGAACTGAGCATAGCCAACAGACCATCTTTTGCACTGGGTAGATCTAAAACCATGTATGAAGTTAATGGACACTTTATGTAGAACAATGGGTAGATGAATTCAACACACAGTATTTATAAGGGCTCATAATGCAATGACAGTATACTGCTTATGACTACTTATTTAGAGAATGTAAAGTGAGCAGCTTCTATGTTATCTGAGAATCACCTCCTCAAATGCCAACTGGAGGTTGCTGGTAAGGAGTACCCAAATCTTCATAATAGGTCTATAAGTTTATACATCTGTAAATGGAAACTCAATGAGAGGTGAATAATAGAGGGAAGGCTAAAAATCTACACAGTATTCCAGCTATCTTCTCTGGATTGTGATTATTGGTTCCTATGGTAGATAATTAGGAATAAAGTCATTTATTTGAATTTGTTTCTAGCTTGGATACCACCGATTGTTATCATGGTGACTGAGATCACCTCATTGTAACAGTGAGAATATTCATTTTGTCATTGTCTAGGATTAGATAGAAGTACAGAACTCTTTTTTTTATAATTAAATGAAGAAGACATTACTTTTTCTTTCAGAACACTTTTTTTTCTAGTTTTTTAAACTCATTTAACAAAACTCTAACAACCAGAACTAAAGAGGGCTGCGATTGACATTCCAGGTAATTCATTAATCAGATACCTGGTCCTTCAAGTCACTACTCTATATAACAGCTCTTAAGTGAGACTCAGTGAGGGTTGGGAATTTGCCTTTTTTAAGTAAAAAGAGTAATATTCGCTCATTGTGAAAATTTGGAAAACAAAACAGAAAAAAGAATAAAAATCACCTGCAATCTATTACTAAGTTATATTTTCCTCCATTTTCAATATTGTTTTCTAATAGAGACTGCTCATTTCTTTAAAATTTATATTCTACATTTTTAATAACATTATAGCAGAAACATGATCTTTTCAATTAAAATTCTTTGCAAATGTATATTTTAAATACTTGGATTACACTCCATCGTATATATGAACAAGGTTTAGCTCACTGTTCTCTTATTGTTTTACATTTTAACTTTTAAAATACCACTTAAAGGAAAATCTTTGTGCACATAACTCTGACTACAGGCTGCATAGTGTCCTCAGCATAGATTTCTGCCCATCTCTGGCAGAGTGTGAAATTTGAATGTAAGTTTGCTGCTTTTTATGGCAGAGGCTTGGGCCCTAGAAAGTAGTAGGCCTGAGAGGTCATAACACTTAGAAGATTGAGGAAAATTCACCTAAACTAGTTACTAATTCTCAGGGCCAGCATTATGAGCAGATGGCTGCATTCCTTTCCGAACTGAAAAGCCTATTCTAATCAAAACCTACCTGCAATTGCCCAAAAGTCCATTATTTTTGTCACTTTGTTTTGGAGCAGGAAACAGAAAAGAGAGCCAAGTCTAGGCTGAGATCCTGGAGCACTGATTAATACAGTTTTTATGCCATGCTTTGCCTGTATGATCATTGCTACTACTGCTACCACCATCATCATTATCACCTTCATAAATATCATCTTCATCATATCCAGTGGTAGTCTTCCTGAACAGTCTGTGAATTCCTACAACGTAGACTCAGGGCCTCATTAATCTTTGAATTTCTCAAAATTCTCTATACCTAAATAGTCCTCAGGGAACATTGTTAGGTGCTTTAAAACAGAATTCACTCATTTATGTTTTAGTTTAAATAAATTTCTAATCATTTTTTCTCCAAAGAGAGTATTGTTAAAATAAAGTAAGTAGAAGGCTCTTGGGTTCCCAGGAGGTAGTGAATGACAAATTTCATTTGCTTAGTTTGTCCTGTCTCTTACCAGCCCCAACCCTACTGTGACACTTGGAGGAAACTCTTAACCATAGGATTTTTTCTCACTCATATGAAAAACATTTCTTTTGCTTCTGCTATATGCCAGAAATTGAATTTAGCCCCAGAGACATAAAGATCCTTAAGACAAATATCTTTTTTCAAGAAGCTAATGGTCTAAAGCAGGAGCTAAATGAAATGGGCCAGGTGTTACACGAGTGTTAAAATGATGGTATTTTGACCAAGCAGAATACCTGCCTCATTTCTTTGCCTTTTAAAACATGGCATCAAACAAAATAACCAATACGAACACATCTATGGTTTTATGTGGTTCAGGATCCATGAGTTTTACACCCCAGAACTAAAAGAAGAACTCTTGGACCCTGACTTTTACTTCCATTTTAAGGGTAGTTTTTAAAAGATCTTTGTAACAAATGCAGGCAGAGTCCATATGCCAGTGAAAATGTAACGTTTATGAACCCCTGCTTTTACATCAGTTATTATAAGAACCATGTTTATTCAACTGAACAACCATATATTGGTAGAATCTAATAAAAGGAAGTAAATTATTAAATATGCCAGTTCATCACTTCTTAAATCAATTGGATCATTAAAAGTCATTGGTAGGCAGACATCATGATAGAAGGAAAATTGTGGCTGTAGTGTCACACAGACCTTAATTCAAACCCCTACATCAGAAGCTGCATGGCTTCTGATTCCTTGCCTGTGAAACAGAAACTGTTAAGTCTATTTCACATAGTCCTTGTACAGATTAGATAGGATTGTGCATGTAACATACTTAGGACAGAGCGGGGGATAGGGTAGATGTGTAAAACCAGATAGTTATCATTGTTCACAGTGGCATATGTATAACTAAGTCCCACAGTTCTTTCCAGGACTTATTCACATTTAAATGAAGCTCTTAGGCTGAACATTTCTTGTGTAGTTCACCAGGGTATTATTTTCAGAGCCCAGTTCTGTGCTTACCATTCTATAGATTCTCAATATATATGCATTGCATGAATCAAAGGACACCAAATGGTCTCTAAGAGATGGAATAGGAAGGTGAGAATTTCTGGCCAAAGGAGAAAGATATTTCAGGGGCAAAAGGAGCTTACATCTGCCTGAGTTTAGTCATTCAAGGTCTTTTCACTTTTCACAGATTATTACACCTTAGAACATTCAGGTGTTCCAAAAGTCTCCTCAGTTAATCCAGCAAAGGAGAAAGAGGAAGAGATGGCTTTTTTTTTAAGGATGCCATGTTTGTAAACAATCATTAGCACATATCATCTCTTTGCCAAGGACTCTGCCAAGCGCTTTACATGCATACTACCTCACTCATTTTCACAACAATCCAATGAAATAGATATTATCCCTATTTGAGGTGAAGAAATTGATACAGAAATGTAGGAACTTGCCTAAAATCAGAAAATTTGTGGTCTCTAAAATCCAAATTGGATCGATGCTCTTTTTACTCACTTCACCTTGTTTTTATATTCACTATGTAGCTTTTGTATGAGGTACTATCTCTGTTTCACCAATTCATTTGTTCTTTCAACAAATATTTATTGGACATCATTTGCCTAGCACTAAGTGAACTAAAACAACCATAATCCCTGCCTTCATGGAGATTAGAGTCTAGCTGGAGGAATGGATATTAAACAAATAATCACAAAATGGCACCACTTACAATTAATTAAGTGCTATAGACGAAAATAGTAATGCTGTAAGAAAGTGTAACAAGGAGACCTATATTTGGGGCTGCTTGAAATAATAGACTCCAGGAAAATCCACTGAGGTCTGGATTTCCAGTTTTGCCTCCTGAGATTGCTACTAACACTCGTTTACCATTGCTGGGCCTGACAAAGGAGGCTTATTACTGCATTTCTTTTTGAAAAGAGGATTATGGGTCTTCCTCCCAGGATTTACCATCTCCCATTTTATTCCTCACTCACAAGGCTCCAGTAACAGAGGACAATAGAGCTTTTGATGTTGGTAAATCTCCAAGGGAAGCTTACCCTCTGATGCAAAGTTCCCTGGGACGGTTTCCAGATAAAGAAATTTACAAGCACCTGTGTGTTACGTGCTCTTCCCAAACCCGTGGTTGCTTTCCTGTGGTGTAGATGTATAGGTCATTAGATACGCCCAAGTGCTCCTACAACTCTATGTGCTTCTACAAGTCCATGAAAGAAGCAGAGGGTGCTGCAGGAGCATTTCTGGGGCACACAGAACCAAACTTTCCTAGGATGAGGATTGGAGGTGAGATGAATTTTGGAGATGTCAAGACTAGGAATTAGATAGACAAAGGGCAGAGGGAGTAGGAATGCTCTTATTAAGAGGAAGCAGCAACCAAAGTATATAATGAGAGCAGGAGAATACTTTGAAATGCTTATGTCCTGACATAAGGTTTTAAAGGGTTATAAAATCTTAATCAAATGAGCATAGTATCATGGAAAGAAATATGGTTTTATAATCAAGCCAACATTCCATTCCAGCTCAGTCACAAAATATTTTGAGCCTTATAAATCATTTTATCTGTGAAATGTAGATAATGATACCTATGTGACAGTATTATTGTGGTAATTAAATTATAAATGTTGCCACATAGGTGTCATTTGATGCCTGGCCTTTAAAGTAGTAGAAATCTGGTGGGTTTTAATGATAAGATCAATAATATTGCATGGAGCTAATTTTTACTGACTTCATTACATGTGTTTATCTAATGATTACAACTTCATGCTAAGAATTTTCATTATCCCCATTATAAAGATAATTGAGACTTAGAAACAGTAAGTGACATGCCCACAGTCACATAGCCAAAAAGTGGCACATCTGGTAGTCTGACCTAAGCCCCATTTCTTAACTGCTCTCCACTGTCTCCCTGTAATAGTCAATACACAGCTATTATTATTGTTATCATTGTCATTATTATGATCATTATTTAAAATTCAAAGGTCTTGAGGTCATAACCAGAATTCTGATATCAAACATCTATGATATGCTTTTTTTTCTGGAGCAAGAGTTTGCAGATTATCTTTAAGGTATTTCCACTTTTGTTGTTATACCTCATAATTTACATGGCAGATCAGAGTTAAATTCAGCTTAAAATGATAGATGATCCCAGATAACAATGGCTTAAATAAGAGAGAAATTTATTTCTCACTCATATAAAGAAACTCAGAGGTAGGCAATCCCTGACAGGGTGGTTTCAGGGACCCAGAACCTAGACTTCTCAGGGACCCAGACTCCTTCAGCCTTTTTGCTTGGCTAGCCGTCCTTAGCAGGTGGCTTGCACCTCATGATCTAGTGTGGCGGCAGCCACATATCGGCTTTCTAACCAGTAGGAAGGAGAAAAGGGAGATGAAGGTCAGGTCATACCCTTCCCTGTTAAGGACACTTCCCTAAGTCACACCTGAAAATTGGCATACATGCCATTGGCCAGAATTTAGTCACATTTAATATAATCCTTGCTAAAAATTAGGGGTTTTATTACTAAAGAAGAAGAGGAAAATAGTCTTGGAGAAAACTAGAAGCTTCTGCCGTACTAGTAATAAAATTTTAAGATACAATAAATATTTAATGTAGATGTTCAATTTGTTCTTTAAAATGTGATATTTAAAAACCAGCAAAAAAAAAAACAACAACAGCTTTTTAAATTCATGCCTAAGGTTCTAATCAACTATGTCTTTTACAAAAAACATTGTCAAAGAGGTCATACAACCTTGGTATTCTTGGCTGGGCTTCGCTTCTAGCTTTTCATCTTATTCAAATCACTTTCTTTTGTTGGGCTTTAGTTTCATCATATGTAAAATGAGTAGGGGTAAACTAGAATTTATCTAATATCCTTCCAGTTCTACCTATTATTACTGAATGACATAGGTAAATCACATTCATTTACTTACAAGAATTTTAAAGTAATTTAAGTGTTATAGGGCAAAAATCTAGCAATGAGCCAGTTTTCTCAGGAGTAGATACAGATTTATCTTTGTATATTTATATCCTTCCTCATCATAGAAAAGAAAAAGACTTCTATCTATCCCTGAAAAACACTATAATAAAAAATGAAATAAGCAGAATAAACATCAGAAAAAATAAACATCAGAAAAGAGATTAAACTGACATCTTTTGCTGATTATATATATTGAAAATCCAAAGATTCAAGTAACAACAAAAATTAGTAAAAACTGGATAAGGAGACTAGCTATCAGATAAATTACAAAAAAAGTAGCCTTTTCTTTTAGCTTATCAAAAAATATTCAGAAATTAAAATTAGAAAAAATGTTCTATGTTCAGTAGCAACCAAGGTAATATTTAGGATTAAAAAATGAAAGAAAGACAAAGTGCTTATATGTAACTGTAAATCTTATTGAAGAACAGAAAATACAGTTAAAAATTAAAAGACAATAGGAAAACATCATATATATATACATATATATATAATAATTATAATGACACAAGGGTTTTTATTTTAGGCATGCATTTTTAAGTTGTTTTACATGGTTTTCAAGTTTGTCTGGAAGGCTGCATTCTCAAGATTAGAGGTATTTAAAAAAAGAGTGAGGGTAAGCTTGCATTACCAGGTGCCAGAACACACAAGCATTATAATCAAATAATATGGAATAGGCATATGAATAGACAAGTAGACCAATGGAACAAAATAGAGTATTCACAAAGGTATTTCATTGTTATAAGATTTTATGAATTATCAACAAAGGTGGCATTTCAATTCAGCAGGAAGAATGTAGCTTATTTAACAGATGGTACTACTGGCACAACTGATTAACCATTTAGAAACAAGTGAATCTGAACCCCTATCTCACATTACATAAAATGAATTTCGGGCATATTAAAGACTTCAATTTTTTAAAGCCTCAGAAGAAAATCTAAGCGACATTTGGATAATCTAGATATAGTGGGAAATAAGCAATCAAGAAGCTATAAAATAATAGGGATATTTGACTCCATAGAATTGTAAACTTTCATTATGTCAAAAGATGTCATTAACATAGAAATTTGCCATATATTTTAGTATGCTTTAGAAGATAGATCTCTGTATCCTCTGTACCATAATGCCTGGTCCATAACTGAGATTCAGATTGCAACATATGAGGTAGAACAGGGTAAGAGCTACTACAAACAGGATAGACTATGTACTGAGACATTTTAGACATGGGAGAACAAATCTGTTTTCAATAGATTTCTTAAGTTGCTTCTTTGGTCCTCAAAACTTTTTTCAGTAAGAGTATGACAGTTAATCCAACTCAACAGTTCAAACATTAATTGAGTGCCTATTATGTGTCAAGCCCTCTACTGGAAAAAAGATAGAAACAAAAAGAGATAGACTTCTTGATAGAGCTTATGGTAGGGAAGGGACAATAAACAGATGATTAAAAATTGATCAGTCTGAAAAATGGGGTGAAGAATATGCTCCTGTGGACATATATAACAAAGAGAATAACAGCCTATGGAATCTAGGACAGAGACAAAGTGGCATTTGTGTTGACATCCTAAGTAGGAATAGGAGTCAGCCAGGTGAAGAGAGGCACAGAAAGAGTGCTCCCCACAGAAGCCCTAGCATGTACAAGGGCTGGATTTGATAGTGAACCTGTTGAAAAACTGGAGCTTCTTAAAAAGGGACTTGGGTGAATGGCACTAGATACTAGGATGAGGCTGAAGAGTTAGGTAGCAAGCTGCCAGGTTCCAGATTGTGATGAATCTTCCAAGCAGTATTAAGCAATTTTACTCCATCTTAAGAGCAGTAAGAATCTATTGGAAGCTTTAGAAAGGAAGTGATTTGATCGGACTTGCATTTTCAAAAGATACTTTTGGAGAATGGATTAAGAAGATGCTAGATGGAAGCAGACCAGTTTGGAGGCTATTGCAGTTGCCCAGATGACAGATGATGTTCCTTTTGATATGGCACAAATTCAGAGACTTGTATAAATCTGAGAGAATTTAGGAGGTAGATCATCGGGGAGCGTGGCTGTGTTTGTAAGGAAAGAAAAAGAGGAGAGAGAGACTGTTTATGAATGATTGGGTAAATGGTGGTATAATTCTTCAGACAGAGAATCCACACCAAGTATCTATTCTTTTTTTTGGTGACTCTTAACAATAGCCAAGAAGTTAATCCAAAAAATGACACTCCCTTTACATTGTTCTAAAAAAGAACTTTTCGGAATAAAAATGTGACTCACATCAAACTCTCACCAGCCAACAGGGTCTGCAATGCCCCCAGACTACTGAATTACCATTCAATTCCACTGAGGTTTCCTCAGGGCTACAGTTTTTGTCAAGTGTTCCCAATCTTTTTCAGCAGCACTGCTTTATACTTCTAAGACTTAGTAATGCCAACAACTTTTTCAAGCTCCCAAGGTTAGTAGTTGATCGAAAGAACACATAGTGACAAATAGCTACTATAAATTTAGAAATGTTAAAATTAATTCATATTTTATTAATAGTGATAGAATTGACATGAATTTGAAAAATAATGCAATATGTGAAAGAAACCCTATTCAGTTTCCAAAGCTTAGTGTTCATTTGCATTCACAGACTCTTGGCAATAATTTGTTGGATTCCCCCACCTTCAGACTTCACCCCAGCAATCGACAGACCAAATTTTATTTTTCAAGATGAACATTTTGTTTGAAATAAGAAACAAAGCTAATATTAACATGATCTTTTTAAGAATTTCACATTCTTTAGAAACCAAAGCAAAAAGCATTTGGTCCCTAATGATGGCATTAAGACAGGGCAATGAGATTATATAAGCATGTGTTCTTTCTGCTCCCCTATAAGTATGCCCTTAGGTTTAAAAACTAGAGTCTATCCATAATGAGGGCATACATTGCACTAAGGCAGATGTACCTACCTCTAAACGTCGTGATTAAAAGAGGAGTTATTTTAAGGATAAACATCAGAACTAGCCCTCCAGAGCCATCAGGAACCAGCAGATCTCTAGGGATTTATTGTCTTGTGAGATTCAAGATGTTCCTCTAACTATAGATAGCATTTCAGCTTTTCTCTCTGCAGTTTAGCTTTGCGTTCACTATTGATGAATGATCTGGTGCCATCTGTCTTCCATTCCAAATCCATGAAGGGGCAAGGCTGATTATTTTTACCTCTATTTGCAGAGTTCTTCCAACTATCCAACCCTACTAGTCTTATCACCTGGCCTGTACTGTGCCACTCTTGGGTCGGTGACTCAACCTTGATTGCCATCTCTGCCTAAAAACAGCTTAACACTACCTCCTTGAACTTGAAGTATGAATAGAGCCATTTCTGCTAACAACAACAACAAAAAAAGGGATAGGACATATTAATAACCAATATGCTCAATATATTTGACAAGAAACCACCAGAAAGGTGAGATAAAGGGAGAAGGGAAATTACTTCATCCCAAAAATAAATCAAGCACCACTTACATGTGTTACATAATGCATTATCCTCAGAGCAAAACCCAGCAGGGTTATAAAATTATCTCCATTTAACAGAAGAGGATAGTGAGGCTTTGAGAGCTCATTAATGTGCTTCATTATCCAGCAGATTCAGGCCTGTTGGACTCCACAGCATGGCTTGTTTGCAAATTCATTGTAGCTGGGGGTGTTTAGCTATGTGTGGCATCAGTCAGTACTGTATGGAGAGAATACAGAATATGGAAAATATTGGTCAGTCACCTTGTTCAGTTTATGTCAGTCAAGACAGCTCTTCAGATATTAAGTAAATAGGTAATTGCTGAATATTTGAGAATTGCCTGTCTGCTATCTGAATGTGTAAGTCCTTTTGAAAAAAAAAATACAGTTTTAGCTGGGCGTGGTGGCACGCACCTGTAGTCCCAGCTATTTGGGAGGCTGAGGCAGGATAATCACTTGAACTCAGGAGGCGGAGGTTGCAGTGAGCCGAGATCGCACCACTGCACTCCAGCCTGGCGACAGAGTGAGACTCTGTCTCAAAAAAAAGAAAAATACAGTTTTATTATAAAGTTAATATTAGATAATGATCATGAATCTAGAAAAAAATTAAAGTAGAAAAATAAAAATTATCATCCTAATATTCAAAGGTAGGTATTGTGATTATTTGGTGTTTTTCTTTCTGGTTTCTTATCTATGTTCTTTTTTTGTTTTGTTTTACATAGTGGTGACATAGATAAAATTTACCTTCTTACTTCTAAATAGTCTTCTTAAAAATCAATTCCTTTAATTACATGAAGGTTTTTTCAGAGTCACACCTTTCTTTGTCTCTTTCCTTGTTTCAGAAAGGATTTCAGTTAGGTTTAGGAAATGTGTCAAGCATCGTAAAATAAAATAAAACAGAAAAAATGAATTAGAAAGGAGAGGTTTCAAAAAGGAAAACAAGGCTTTCTTTTATTTGTTCTGGCCTAAATTTCTTTTTTTCACCCCCATTTTTTTCACAAGTGTTGATTGGCCCACACTTCTGATCATTAAGTAGAAGTTTTTCTATGTGGTCTGGCAACCACTTTGTGCCTTCCTTGAGTCTTTCCAATCTAAAATGCATTTTCAGAGCCTATAAGCTGAAAGGAACTATGTCTGGATAGATGGCCAAAGATTGTGTTTCATTTTTGTAATGAGATGCATATTTATCATTAAATGTACCTTTATTACACCATCTCATTAGGCTGTTCAGAGTGGTTTTTAAGAAATTATTCCAATACTTATGCTTAGGATTCTGTAAAAACAACAACAGCAGCAACTACAAATGATTATATCCTCATTGTGTGTTCTTAGTACAATGGCAGAAAACCAGATGACTCAAAGTGTTACTCCCCTTCCAACTTTGTTTTTTTTTCTATTTTAGAACCTCTAAAGATAAGAATTTCTCAAGTTGCTTTACAAATTTGTGTTAAACGGCTGTGCCTAGTATCTGAATTCACAGATGAAAATAGAAACTTTATAAAATTATTTTTTAAAACACTTGCTGAATGCCCACATGGTATAATTATTGATGAGCAAGACAGACTCCCACCTTCAAAGCAGTCAGGGTCTAATGGAGTCGGACAAGTAAACAAATAGTTGCAATGAACAAAAAACTAGCTTGAAAGTATCGCAGATGCAATTGTAGTATCAACAAAGTAGTCGTAAGATTACGGAAATTAACCTGAATTTCAATTTAGTTGAATTTCTATACCAAATTTGTATGTCATGAAAATGAAATCACTTCAGAATTAGCAATGGAGTATCAGAGAAATGTATTTTTTCCTAAACTTAAAATGGACATGCTTTAAATTAGCAAAATTTTTAGAGTTATGGGACAATTTTCTTTTTAGTATTCTACCATGTTTCCTTTGAGATGAACATGATTACTGTCTATGGTAAGAGCTAGAAGAAAAAAGATTATCTAAAATCATAGATGGCCGTTTGATTAATCTTCAACATTGTAAAGTACCTAGGACAATGTTAGTCTGGATTAGGGAGAAGTCTGAATTACAAAATACTTTAAAAGAAAATACTTTTTTATTGGGAGAAATTTCAAACATACAGAAAAATTCGGAGAATTATATAATAAATATCCATTGATCTACCCAGAAGTTATGAATATTAATGCCTTCTCATATTTTGAAATTATTTTCATTTCTATTCTCAATCTCACTCACCTACCTTCTTCCTCAAAGCAATCATTCTATTTAATTTGGTATGTATTTTCTTCATGAACACTTTTATTTTTACTTAATATGTAGATCTATACAGTATCATTTTTGATATTTAAGTAGCTGACATCATACTTAATGTATCATTCACCAAATTGCTTCTCTCAAAAGTACTTTTAGATCATGTTTATTATGATAATATTATATGCTATTATCAATTTACATGTGATAGTTAGTGCCTAATACAACAACAGAGAAAGAAAAATATATTCAATAAAACTGTGTTAGGATAACTGAATGTCTACAGGGCAAAAATAAAATTAGAGTTCATGTAATATTATTCATTTATTATAACTACTATACAGCTGAGATGGTTTGGCTGTGTCCCCACCCAAATCTCATCTTGAATTGTAGTTCCCATAATTCCCACGTCATGGGAGGGACCAGGTGGACTTAATTGAATCAGCAGTTCCTGCATGCTGTTCTAGTGATAGTGAGTCAGTTCTCATGAGATCTGCTGGTTTTATAAGGGTCTTCCTTGCTTCAATGGGCACTGATTCTTCTCTCTCCCGCCACCATGTGAAGAAGGATGTGTTTGCTTCCCCTTCTGCTGTGATTGTAAGTTTCCTGAGGCCTCCCCAGCCATGCTGAACTGTGAGTCAAATAAACCTCTTTTTTTTAATAAATTATCCAGTCCCTAGTATGTTTTTATTAGCAGCGTGAGAACAGACTTATACAGCAGTATTTCATCATGCAACTATATCTTGTTATTTATTCCCTTTTTGATGAACATTTAGTTATCTTTTCTTTTTTTGCTATTACAAAGTTAGAGTGTACATCTTTTTCACATGGCTTCTTGTATATATATGTGAGATATATAGTGAAATGGAATTGCCAGATCATGCTCTATATGCATCTTCTGCTGTATTAAATACTGCCAAATTGTTCTCTACAGAAAATATACCAATTTATATTCCCACCAGCAGTATATTAGAAGAATTCATATTGCTCTACATCTTTGCAGTCATTTGGTATCATAATATTAAATTTTTAAATCAAACTGATTATATAAAATGGTCCTTCATAATTTTTCATTTTCTTAATCTTTAGTGGCCATTTAGGTTTTCTTCTCTGTAAATTACTTATTCACAGGCCTTGCCTATTTTTTAATAGGATTGTTTGTCTTTTTCTTATCCATCATTTGGAATTCCTTATAAATTCTGAATGCAAACTATTTGTTATATACATTGCAGATATTATCTCTTTGTCTGTCACTTATTTAACTTTGTTTATGGTTGCTTTTGTCTTAAAAACAAAATTTTAAATTTTGAGATAGTTGGATTTATCAACCTCTTACCATGATTTAAAATACTGTGTTAAGTTTGGGTTTTAATCTAACTGAAACGTATTTTTGAGATTGGTGTGAGGTTGAAATCTAATTTTATTTTTGCCCTGTAGACATTCAGTTATCCTAACACAGTTTTATTGAATATATTTTTCTTTCTCTGTTGTTGTATTAGGCACCCACTATCACATGTAAAGTCCCAAATGTTTAGCTCTCTGTTCTATTGCCATTTTGTATTTTTCCATTATTTTATCAGTACCAAACTGTATTAAATAGTGTGGCTTTATAATAAGCTTAGATATTTAATGGAGTAGAACACTATCCGTGGTCTTCCTCAAAGTTGTCTTAAATATTACTGACCTTTTGCTTTTTCATTTGGTTAAACTTCATAAAAAATATACTTGGGATTTTTATTAGAATTGAATTGAGTGTTTATACTAATGATAACAGAACTGATGCATTATAAGATGATTTGGTTTCCAGGTATATTTAAAATTTATTCAAATTTTTAAAAATAAAGTTCTATAGTTTTCTCCATAAAATTTTGCCACAGTTTTATGAGGTGTATTCCTAGGCATCTTACATGATTTTGGTCTTGATGTAAAGAGAGTCTCATAGAGTCTCACTTTTTTTTTTTTTTTTTTTTTTTTAGAAGGAGTCTGCCTCTGTCGCCCAGGCTGGAGTGCGGTGGCGCGATCTCGGCCCCCTGCAAGCTCCGCCTCCCGAGTTCACTCCATTCTCCTGCCTCAGCCTCCGGAGTAGCTGGGACTACAGGCGGCCGCCACTACGCCAGGCTAATTTTTTTTGTATTTTTAGTAGAGACGGGGTTTCACTGTGTTAGCCAGGATGGTCTCGCTCTCCTGACCTCGTGATCCGCCTGCCTCGGCCTCCCAAAGTGCTGGGATTACAGGCGTGAGCCACCATGACCGGCCCAAGTCTCACTTTTTTAACGTCACTTTGCTATAGGTTTTTTGGTATGAACCTTTATCAGGTTAAGGATATTCGTTCTAGTCTTAATTTATTGAGAGTTTTCTTTTTCTTTTTAAAATAATCATTAATGTGTGCTGATTTTATTGAATGCTTTTCTAATAAAAAGCTTTTTTACTTCTTTACTAATAAGGTCAATACCTGTAATAGATTTTCTAATATGTATCATTTTGCATTCCAGGAATAACCCCTGCTTGATAGTGATATTTTAAATACATTGCTGGATTCTATTTGATAATTTGTAGGTATTTTACCTCTCTTTTCAAAAGTTAAATTAGTCTATTCTTTTTTTAGATGATTCCTTACAAATGGCATATAGCTGGATTTTACTGAGATGACGAATGTATTTAGAATTCCATCTATCTTCTTATATTATATTTTTAATATATGCTAGGCTTATTTTTTGGCCTCTCCCCTCATTTTCTGTTTTCTATTGAATTAAGTTTTATTTATTTTCCTTCCTTTCTTCTATTTACCTAGAAGTTATAATTACCACTGTTTTGATACCTATTTTGTTACCTTTTTAATATGTATACTTAACAATTCGGCTTTGTTTGTTTGTTTGTTTGTTTTGACAGGGTCTTACTTTGTTGCCCAGGCTGGAGTGCAGTGGTGCAATCTTGGCTCACTGCAACCTCAACCTTCCAGCCTCTGGTGATTTTCCCACCTCAGCCTCCCCAGTAGCTAGGACTATAGGTACATGCCACTATGCCAGACAAGTATATACATATTTTTTTAGTAGAGACGGGGTTTTGCTATGTTGCCTAGGCTACTTAACAAATTTTAAGGTCAGTCAGTATCTTTAGTTGTCTTTAAACAAGTGAAGGACCTTGCATGTTTTAACTCCAAAACACAACCCCCATCATTCATGTCATTGCATCCTAGTATGTTTGTTGCACCTTAGTTTTTAATCCCAAAACATCCCTTGTTGTTGTTTACCAACTTTTTTCATCTATTTCTTTACTCATCGTTGCTTCTTACAACTACTTCATTCTGGTTTCAGTGTCCTTCGTCCTGAAGTACATCCTTTAATAATAGGGTCCATAATTAGTATTTTCTCTAATTTTTATCCAGTTGAAAATGTCTTTATCTCACTCTCATTTTGAATAAACTTTAACTGGGTATATAATTATTAGTTGATTTTTTTTCCTTTAGCATTTTGAAACTATTCTGTTGATTTCTGGCATTAAATGTGGCTGATGAGAAGGCTGACTTTAGACTAATGGCTCTTCCTGTAAGTTAACCAAAATTTTCTTTCTGATAGATTTTAAGATAATTTTCTTCAACTTTTATGTTCTTAAATTTCATTGTCGCCAGGTATGGTGGCTCACTCCTGTAATCACAGCACTTTGGGAGGCCGAAATGGGCAGATCACTGAGGTCAGGAGTTTGAGACCTGTCTGGCCAACATGGCGAAACCCTGTCTCTACTAAAAATACAAAAATTAGCTGGGCATGGTGGCAGGCACCTGTAATCCCAGCTACTCGGGTGGCTGAGGCAGGAGGATTGCTTGAACTCAGGAGGCTGAGGTTGCAGGGAGTGGAGATCATACAACTGTACTCCAGCCTGGGCAACAGAGCGAGACCCTGTCTCAAAAAAAAAATAAAAATAAAAATAAATAAATTAAATAAAATAAATTAAAAATTAAAAAAAATATTGTCATGTGCCCACATGTGGACTTGTTTTATTTCTCCTACTCTGAAATTTGTAAAATGTTTTATTCTGAATTTTTCAAATCTGAAAAACTCCATGGTTTAATTTCTCTCCTACTCTCTGTCTTATCTCGCTTTGGAGCTATTAATAGCTTCTCATTATTAGAAGCTATTAATTGGAGCTTCTCATTCTAGCTTCATTATCTCTTAATGTCTCTTCCATATTTTTCATCCGTTACCTCACTGTGCTCCATTCCAGATAATTTCATTAGAACTAACTTCCAATTTACTCTTTCCTCTTCATCTGTGTCTCAACTATTATTTAAACTCTATTTAAAAATGTATTAAGTTTATATTTTTAGAATTTCTATTCCATTATCCCTCATAATTAATTATTCTGATCTTCAAGTCTCTATTTTTAATTCTTTAACAAGAAATTACTGAAAACAGGTAATGAAAACATCCCTTTAAGACCATTTTAGAATTTGTAATTGCCAGAGCTCCATAATAGTTCCGTGATGTTTCTTGGCTTAGGGTTCTTACTTTGGGGAAATAGTACAAACTCAGACTATAACTAGGTAAGCATTCCAATTCAGGATTCCAATTTCTTGTTTTAAAGTTTTTATTTTGGAATATTCGATGAAGGATCTTTTCCGCTCAGTCTATATACCTGGCATAATGTAAAGGAGACATTTTGAAATCTTGCAAATCTCCAAATTGAGTGTCTGACTGGTAGTTTTCTTCATGAAATACAGTGAAGAGATTGACCTCTTCTCTTTTCACTTCCATTATCAGCAGGAGGAGATGTGTTTTTTAAGGGGGACATTGTTCACAAAATAAACAAAGCTTTTTAGTTTTTGCTGTGTTTTTAAATCATTTATGAGACTCCCTACATGCGTAGGGTAGAATAAAGATTAACAAAACTGTACTTAAATGCAGATGCTTGGGAGAATCACTTATTAGGGCTACACACCAGCCCTATACCAATCATGTTTTGAACGTGTGCTCCAAGAAACTTATAAACCACTTGACTTAATGAGCTATTTAGGCCCATTATGAAATACCTGAAAATTTAAATATTAAATCTATTAACACCAAAGGTTTATAGTATTTGGCATCAGGATTTTTCTGAGTGTGAGTATCTATGGATTGGTATTATTTGAAAACTTATTTCCAAATGCAAATGGAATACACAGATTAATACAATCTGAGAAAATAAACCATAAAAGTAGATACTATTTATTAAGCATCTCCTATATCAGCCACTGCATTAGGTTTATTACCTACATTATTTCTAATTTTACAAATGCCCTTTCAGTCAGGTGGTAGTATCATAATTTTATAGATGAGGAAACTGAGCCTTAGAAAGGCTAATTGATTGTCAAAAATGGCAAGATTAGGCTAGGTGCAGTGGCTCACACCTGTAATCCCAGCACTTTGGGAGGCCGAGGTGGGTGGATCATGAGGTCAGGAGTTCGAGGCCAACCTGGCCATGATGGTGAAACCCCAATTCTACTAAAAATACCAGGTGCGGTGGTGGCGCCTGTAATCCTGGCTATGTGGGAGGCTGGAGTCGCTTGAACCCAGGAGGCGAAGATTGCAGTAAGCCGAGATTGCGCCACTGCACTGTAGCCTGGGGAACAGAGCAAGACTCCATCTCAAAAAAAAAATAGGCAAAACTAATTTACCCAAAATAAACTGGTAATATTTCCCTTTTTCAAACTTGGTTGATTAAAAACCTCCAAAGCACTTTAAAATAGGAGGGAAAGAAATAGACTTATGATCTAAAAATATGCAAAATACCAAGAGCTTATGTTTTAGCTATGGTTTGGGTCAGGCAACCTCCCTAGGTGTTTTGTAACCCTCAACCACACTTTCCTTTAGGTACTAGGATGCTATCTAGCCGGAACCTAACACAACTAATAATAATTTTTTAAACAACATTGTAGCCTTTAATCTGATTTAAGGTTGTTTTTTCAGTTCTTCCTTGAGGTTGCTAATAATTAAGAACCCTACCTAGTGATGCATAACCCTACTGAGCTCATGAGCAGGCAAGGTAGCTATAGGAATTTAAAGTTGACGTTTCTTTCAACCAAGTTGACAGAGACAACCTCTTTGTATTAATATATGAAATGAACACATTTATATATTAATACCAAAAGTCATCACTATCAAGATAGCCTATTTTTAAAAATGATCAAAAATTAAGATATTCATAGAACAAATATTTATTAAGCACCTACTCAGCACCAGGGACAATTCTAGGTACAAAGAGTGCTAACAAGACAGACCAGGTTCCTGCCCTCTTGGAGCTTACATTCTAGTGAAAGTAGACAGTCAATAAATACTCATGTAAATTAACAAATACACTAGATAAGTTCAGATCATTTTAAGAGCTACAAAGAATATAAAGCAAGGTAATTATATAGTCACTAGGAGTGTGTCATGGGAGAGACTAGTTGAAATAGGCCAGAAAGACCTGACAGGTCACATTTGAGCAGTGATCTGACTGGCAAGAAGCCAGCCATAAAGAATCTTAGGAAAAGAGAATTCTAAGGAGAGAGAGAAAAGTTCACATAAAGGCTGTAATATGAGAAGGAACTCAATATGTTAGAGAAGACCACAAAGTGAGTATGACTGAAGCACAGTAAATAACAGAGAGGGTAATAAGAGATAAAGCTGGAGAGGTAGAAAGAACGTGCACCCTGATTTTCTTAAGGTAGTCCTGAACAATGCCTGTTGTCCTGGTGTAAATAATAGCACCTCCTTTCACTCTCAAAGTATGCTTTTTGGACAATAAATTATACAATCTTTCTGTGGAGAGATATGGAGGAGCCAAATTATTTGGATATAGATAGCAGATGAATAAAAACTTTAGAAACTAGATAGCAAGTGGATTTCTTCTTCTTCCATTGGTCCTTCCTATTTTCATCTGAGTTGGAGGCACTTGTTTTTATTTTACATTTGTCTGGCGCATGCAGTAGGATAAATGAGATACAGATATGTAAATAAGACCCGGTTTTCCACAGAGAACATCCAGGGCAGAGGTTTTGGGGTTTAGATCTGTGTAAGACTAGGGGTCTCTAGTCTTACACTGTGACTGGAGCAGCCCAGGATACTTATGCCAAAACAAGTAATTAACACTAAAAAAGAAGAGGAGGAAGAAAAAGAAGAAGGAGGCAAAGGGAGACAGCCTCTTGTTTCATGCCATACAATAACCATTATTCATTTCTATTACTCCATGTTTAATCTTCATGTAAGAGAGGTTCTATAGCTTGATTGGAGTCATACAGGTAGTGAGAATTAAGGCTGGGATTTAAATCTAACTCTGTCTCACCCTTTCCCTCAGGTTATCCTGCCCACCTCAGGCTTTCCAGTGGTATTCTCTTACTACTTAATCTCTGAACATAACATGCTCTTTCACATCTCTTTGTATCTATCATTCCTGCCTGGCAGTCCCTATTCATCCACTGCAAAGGTTGCTTCTCATGTGAAGCTTCTCTCAATTCCCACAAATGTGTTTGATTGTCTTCTCTGTCCTTCCATAATAGCCACATGAATCTCTGCTGCAATGTTTTATTCATTCATCATCCATTCATTCATCTATTCAACTGTTAAATACTGGACATATAAAAGCCTACAGGACAGACATAGTACTCATCCTCAGAGGAGATTATGACTAGAGAGGATTAATTAGCAAAGTAACCAATATCTTTAAGAAATTTCTTTATTAAATCTCTTTTGACTCATTTGTTCATTCATTTGGCCATTCGACAAGTGCGTACTATGCTGACAGAGGCCTGATAAACTATTGACACATTTTGGAAAATGCAAATTTACTCATGTTTTAAGTCTGGGAGCATGAAGTGGGAGAAGTAAGAGATGAAACTGAAGAGAAAGGCATAAACAAGATCATGGTGACCCCTATGGGTCTTACAAAAGAACTGGGACTTTCTCTTCAGGCATCAGTAAGGCATTGAATGCCTGAAATGGTCAGATATTTATTCTAGTAAAATTACTATGGAGGCAATGTCAAGACTAAATTTGAAGGGTACAGGCTACAAACAGGAAGACTACTTAGTTTTTGCAAAAAAAAAAAAAGTTTCTGAAGTGAGGTGGAATAAATGAAATGGAGAACAGAAGAGGAATTCATGGTTAGAAATTAGAATTTCTGATTAATTAGAACTAGGGGAAGAAATGGAGCAACATAGGCTGACTCATAAATTTCAGACTGTGGATTTCAAACTCATGACGCTTTGCTGAATTACTGAGACAGAGATGAGGTCCTGCCCATTGTATCCTCCATTGCCTTATGCTTCTCTGCAAGATGAGTAAGCTCATTTCTTCTGACACCTACTTGGTGTTTTTGTTGATTGACTTTGGGTAAAAGTGGCAACTGAAGAGAATATTGGATTTGGAATCAGGAGATGAGGCTTTGGAACAAGATCTGCCACAGATATTTTCTACACACTTAGAGAAAGCTTGTGTCTTCCCTAGACCTGTTTCTCATCTGGAAAAGGAAAGAGTTTATCTAAGCTAGGATATTTTGGTTCCCTCTCAGTTCAGTGATTCTAGGATTCTGCTTGGCAGCAGTTGCTTTGTGGTTGAATGCAGTTCTCAAAAGCCAAACATGCGTTTTGTACAAGCAACCTAACTTTAGCAGCAAGGAAGCCATTTACTGGGATTTGACTTCACATTTTCTTTGTACTTCTCATGCATCTGGTAATTTCCATTGACTTCAAGTTTCGAAGCTTGTCCTGACACCCATTCTATTCTCCTGCAAGTCATAACTGACCCGTAGGTTCTGGGTAAATCCTATCCTATGTCTTTCTTTGATCCCCCCCCACCCTGATCTTTATATTTCTATCAAAAAGTCAGCAGAGTTCAGTTAACAGATAACTTTTTCTCTACCCCTGAGAATGATTATATATGGGCCAAAATACAGCACTTTTAGCCCTATCATCACATGAAACACTCCTTCCTGACCCACTGTGTTCTTTCACAAAAGCTAAGCTCCTTTCTGCACCATGGTTTCAGAAGTGTCTGCCCCCTAATATTTTAAACTGTGCTTTCTCAGATGAGTCACCAATTTAACTCTTGCCTTCATCTTTCTTATTCAGATTTTAGCTAATATTCCAGCTGAAAATTCTTTGAGCGTATTCAAGTTAGTCCTTTCAAAAAAGCAATCAAATACAGTCCATAGAATTTTACAAGTAGTTTAATAAAGGTGTCCATACACCCTGGGATCCTTGCCAGTCACTGGCTCCAGCTGAATACTCAGGGATTTTCCTTTGTTTGTTTCTCTTCTGCCCATTCATTTTCCATGCTGTAATCTTTGGGTTGGATGTGGAAAAGAGCCTTGCCACTTATGGAAGACTTCGTTATTTCATGAAAACTAAGCTATCAAACTTTGTTTTTTGAGATAGGGTCTCACTCTGTCCCCCAGCCTGGAGTGTAGTGCTGTGATCACGGCTCACTGCAGCCTCCACCTCCTGGGCTCAAGCAATCCTCCTTCCTCAGCCTCCCAAGTAGCTGGAACTACAGGCACACACCACCATGCCCAGCTAATCTTTCCTTCTTGCTTTCTTACCCTTCTTTCCTTCCTTCCTCTCTTTTCTTTTCTCTTCTTTTCTATGTATTTTTTGTAGAGACAGGGTTTCACCATGTTACCCAGGCTGGTCTCAAGCTTCTGGACTCAAGCAATCCACCTGCCCTGCCTCCCAAAGTGCTGGGATTACAGGCATGAGCCACCATGCCCAGCCTATTAAACTTTTTGTAGGAGATGGCCAAGAGCTGAACCTCTTCCTTCTGGATTGCAGGTACTGGGAAGGTAGAAATGCAGGCTGGTTGCTGGTCACCTCCCAACCCGGGAGGGAAGCAGAGGAGGAATTCAGATTCCTAAAGTCAGGAGAAAATAAGAATAAAAGGGCATCCATCATTAGCTTAAAATACAAGGGACTACCTACCTCTGAATAATTTGAAGGTTAAATCATTGAAGACAGTCCATAAAATAATTGAAATAACACAATAGTGGGAGTTAGGAAACCTGGTTGTTTTTCTAAGTGTAGTTCGACCTTTGTCACTCTAGACTACTTACTCTCTTTGGACCTCAACCTTCTCAACCTTATATAGGGAAAATTAAGTAGATTTCACAAATATCTTTTTTTTTATTTTTTTTATTTTTTTTTGAGATGGAGTCTCACACTGTCGCCCAGGCTGGAGTGCAGTGGCATGATTTCTGCTCACTGCAACCTCCGCCTCCCAGGTTCAAGCGATTCTCCTGCCTCAGACTCCCGAGTAGCTGGAATTAGAGGCATGCGCCACCATGCCCGGCTAATTTTTTGTATTTTTAGTAGAGACGGGGTTTCACCATGTTGGCCAGGCTGGTCTCGAACTCCTGACCTTGTGATCTGCCTGCCTCGGCCTCCCAAAGTGCTGGGATTATAGGCATGAGCCACTGCGCCCGGCCCGATTTCACAAATATCTTTACAAGTTCTCATATGTTAATATATAAGTTAATATGATAACCTATAAGAGATCTCTATTTAACATTCACTTGTTACCATAGAAACTTGTAAATTATAGGAATATGCTTATCATTCCATTATTATAACTTAAAAATAAATTTTTTTGCATATTATTTGTCCCTCTCATTGGGTCATTGGTTTGTATAGGAAATAAGCCATTTCTTTTTCATCTCCATATCCTGATACTTAACATGGTTTCTGCATATAGTCCACACTTTTTATTCATTTGTAAGCAGCAAGAGAGGAAAACAATTGTCTTCATTTTTTGCAGTAACTAGTTGTAATTATAGAGTGTGTTTAATTTTGCATCTCTGCTTTCTCCACTTAGCGTATCATAAGTAATTTGCCATGTTTCAACATTGCATTCACAATTTTATGTTCCACTCAGTTAATGTGCCATGATTTACTATCCATTTCCCTAGTGGGAAATGGTTATAGTGCTAGAGTTTCTACTATTATTAAAATGAAAATGCAATAAATATGTGTCTGTATGTAACTTTTTCCTCTTGGGTTATTTCTTTAAGATACCTTCCCCTGGAATCAAAAGTTTATATTTAATTATTTATTTCTAGTGTTTTCTGGTGGGTTATATTAACATGCAGTTTTGCTGTATTTGATTATTTGTAGGTGTAAACTTGGCCATTGATATTTAATATTTTGTTCATATTCTATTGATGTTCATTGCTCAGCCTGCCAGCATAATCCTCTTCCCATTTATTTTTAAGCAATGTTAATACTTAAAAGACACGTATGTTGAATATATAGTCCCATGTTGTTATTTTTACTTTTTCTGTTTTTTTAGATTCCCTAAACTGTGAATCTTTATGTAGTTATATCTATCAGTCTTATCTTTTATAGTTTCTGTCTTTGCTTTTATTTAGAGAGTCCATCTTGACCTTAATAATCAGGTTAAACATACTTCTATCAGTTTACTATTTGTGTTTACTCTTTTCTATTCATACTCTTTAATCATTTCTGTCTTCTGTCTCTGATGGTTTCCTTAATAACTGGTATTTGCTTTAGATACAAATACAGTCATGCATCACTTAATGACAGAAACATGTTCTGAGAAATGTATCATTGTGCAAACATCATAGAGAGTCCTTACACATACCTAGACGGCATAGCCTACTACACACCTGCCTATAGGCTACAAGCCTGTACAGCAGGTTACTGTACTGAGTACTGTAGGCAATTGTAACACAATAGTATTTGTATATTTAAATATATCTAAACATGGAAAATGTACAGTAAAAATATATTATACTTTTATGGGACCACCATCATATATATAGTCCATTGTTGAGTGAACCGTCACTCTGAGGCACATGACATTATATACACATACATAGCTATTAACCTTTTGTCTATATTTTCAGTTTCTGATAGTTTTCTTTGATAGTTTTTGTATTGAACTTTTGATTCCAAATGTTAATGATTTTTTAAAAGATGGCATATGGTATGGTTCTTACTTTTTTTATTGAACTGCTATCAAGAGGTGATTATGTCACTTATAAATTATATTTCCTCTATTTCCCCCTTGTTCTGAAAAGCTTCCTTGATCATATATTAAGTGAGTCTGTATAGCTGGATCTATTTCTAGACTCTCCATTCTGTTATGCTGATCTATATGTCTATTTTTGTGCCCATAAATTCTGCATGTATTTGAGGAGACCTCAAATGTCCTCTCTTGAGTCTTTGTTTCTCCAGGCTAAACATTCCCTGTTCTTTCAATGGCTACCCTTCTATTTAGCATCCAAGTCCTCTCCCATCTGCCCTGGGGACCAGGGGCAGGCAACTGTGAGATAACTGACCAAGCCTCAGGGGACCCCAGAGTTCCCTCACTTGGGGAAAAAAATGTTACATAAAGGCAGCACCCAGGTGAAAAAGGGAGACTGATGAGCTCTTATGTGGAAATAACGGTTTTTGTCACAGAAAAGTACTTTTTTGTTTCTCATCTCTAATCTGACAGAATAGTTTACAATGGCTAAGGGTCTGTCAGGGTTCAAATCCCAACTCTACCATTTTCTTGTTGTGTAACCTTCTCGGTAAGCCTCATTCACCTCAACTGTAATATGACTATATAATGGTATCTACTTCATAAAACGGTTGTAAAGAAGAAGTGAGGTAATCCATGAACACATAGTGAGCACTTGATCATATAAGCTGTTGTTATTACTGCTAAAATATCGGTCATATAGATTTATTATTTTATTTAACATTTTGAGGTAGTTATTAATATACACAATTTAATGTTGAATGAACAGGATAAGAAAAACTCAGTAAATTTCCCTTCCCAGCTAGTAGATGTGCTTCAGCAAGTATCTCACCTTGTTTGTCTAATGAGAAGGCCCGGGTCTTTGCTGTAGACAACACAACTCCACTGTGTGATGGAAGGCACTGATAACTGGCTCTTTGGATTCTGCCATGGTTACTAGGTGAAGCTCTAAATTCTTAGACAAAGGTAAATGTGAGGTTCAAACATAGGATTGTTTTGAGGTTTTCTTTTGGTTTCAACATGGAGGGACATTAGGTTAATGGGGAGACTCAATATGGTTTCATCCTTATTTGCAGATTAGCTGATGTGGAAACATGTCCCTTCAAACTGAGTATCACTTCACATAACTACTCCAAGTGAAAGTGACACAGGCCCAGAAGCATTTGTCATCCCCACAGGGTGCCAGAGGAAGCGGCACTTCCTCTCCTTCAGCACATGCTACCTGTGCTCTCAGAAGGCCCACGGCTGGGAGGGAGGCAGGTGGAGGAGGCCATACAACTTGCCAAGTCAAACACACCGGAAGGTCTAATTTTAGTCCCCCTAGCCTTGGCATTGTCTCTTTCAGCAAAGATATTTTTCATGCACTACAATAAAGTGCTTTGTTCCAGCCTTGCTGGATACTTCACAAAGGCCCAGCAAGGACAGCATAAGCCTAAATCAGAGCTGGAAACACATCAAACACAGGGACCTCACAGAAGAGGGTCAGCATTCCTCTCGTAACCTTTGGTAAATACGTTCTTTCCATCCAGCTTCCAAAACCCTAAGAAGGAACACTTGGTTGTGCTTCTCCTTCTACGCAACTCCTCTTCCTCCAGCTTCTTTTTTGTGAATCTTCTGTTGGCTCCTCATCAACAAGTGTGTTTTCTCCTTCATGCCAGGGATTTGAAAACCTACTCCCTCTTTTTGTCCCTGCCTAACAAAGCCCCCTTCTTTCTTTCTTTCTTTTTTTTTATTTTTTTTTTTGAGACGGAGTCTCGCTCTGTCGCCCAAGCTGGAGTGCAGTGGTGCAATCTTGGCTCACTGCAAGCTCCGCCTCCCGGGTTCATGCCATTCTCCTGCCTCAGCCTCCTGAGTAGCTGGGACTACAGGTGCCCGCCACCACGCCCGGCTAATTTTTTGTGTTTTTAGTAGGGACGGGGTTTCACTGTGTTATCCAGGATAGTGTCGATCTCCTGACCTCGTGATCCGCCCGCCTCGGCCTCCCAAAGTGCTGGGATTACAGGCGTGAGCCACCGCGCCTGGCCACAAAGCCCACTTCTTTCTATATAGTCTAGGTCTTGTTTTCTTTTCTGACATTGCCTGGAAAGTGCACTAGATTAAGAGTGAGAAACAATTTTACAATTTGCAAACTGGCTCCAGGGTTTGTTCTTACAATGACCTGGCAAATTCGTTGAGGCAGAAACTTTCACAGAACTTGTATAGATGAGAAAACTGAAGTGCAAAGAGGACACAGACTTTTGCAAAGGTCACACAGGAAAACACTGGCAAAGCTGAAACTGAAACCTAGCTCTGGTGCTTTAGGAAAGGTGTGGTCCAATGAACTTATCAAAGCACCGAAAACCCACACAGGCATTTGGGAGGGCCCTGGGATGAAAGAATCCTGGAAAAGGACCTCCTGTGGTGCTTTCAGTTAGAGCCACTCCCTTTACAAACAATGAATTAACAGCAGTCTTTTAGGATTCACAGGTAGATCAAAGACCTTTAGTTCTTAGGCTCATTCTATTTAGCTCTGGGTGATGAATATGGAGGAGAAGCTCAGGAGAACCCTGAGGTGACATCTCAGCACCTTGGAGAAGTTGTGATCGGGAGACACAGTGCTGGGAGTCAGAGTCCCTGACCATCAGAATCTGCTATGTCACCAAACCTCTCTGAGGCTCAGTTTTGTCTTCTGTAAGATTGATGCTAACAATGCCAAGGTTTATGTAAGATGTGAGATAGGAGAGAGCTTTGTAAATGCTAAAGCACTATCCACTGTTCATTACAATGACTCATATTCAAATTCAAAAAATAGAAAATTCAGAGCTTCCATAGATCACCACTTCTGGGTGCCTATGGTTGGGTCTAGAGTTGTCCAGTGAAGTCCAGAAAGGAATCTACCCAAAGGACAAAGTAAAGATCCGAGAAGCCTTGGGGAACATTAACATCTCTGGTCAACCTTATCTGCTGCGTTTCCAGGAAATAAGGAAATGATTTCTCTGAAGGTAAAACCCACCATTCTGGGACCTCAACCTGAAACTGTTGACCACAAAACCAGCTAATATCCTCAGGAAGTTTTCCAAGCCTCCCAAAGGCCTGTGTGAGTTTTCTGTGCTTTGACAGGTTCATGGGACCACACCTTTCCCTAAAGCATCAGAGCTAGGTTTCAGTCCAAACTCTGCCAGTGTTTTCCCGTGTGACTTTTGCAAAAGTCTGTGTCCTCTTTGAACTTCAGTTTTCTCATCTATACAAGTTCTATGAAAGTTTCTGCCTCACCTAATTCACCAGTTCATTGTAAGAACAAACCCTGGAGGCAGTTTGCAAATTGTAAAAGTGTTTCTCACTATTAATCTAGTGCATTTTCCAGGCCGTGTCAGGAAAGAAAACGAAACTCAGACTTTATAGAAAGAAGTGAGCTTTGTTAGGATTTTATTAGTTTGGTGAATGAAATACATTTTGTGCATTTATTTGTTTGCTGAAATAAAAACATTTGCACATTGTTCTGCTTATAAATGTTATATGCTCATTATAAAGAGTTCAGAAAGATATTAAGGAGAGAGTGAAATGCCACCATTATACCACCAGCAGTTATAATCACTGTTAAGATTTTGATATAAATTATGAACTGACCAAACTTCCTGTGCACACAAGCTCAAGCAAGTGTGTGTATAAAGCAAAAGTAAGTGGTGCTACACTTACTGTTTTGTGACCTGCATTTTTGACTTAACAATTTATTACAATATTATCTCTCCTTTTTTCTTTCATTTTTATTCCTAAAGTGCTGCTTATGTTAATCGTATTCCTCAGATCATGGTTCAATATCAACATTTTTTATATAAAGCCCTTCTTGTGTTTTCTCATATAGTTTTAATTTCCCTTTATTTGCTATGCTCCCATTCCCTTCCTCCATTATATTGTATTTAATATATGTCCTCAGGTAAGGGTTTATCCTTGAAAATATACAGAGTTTATTTGTACATTTGTGTGTTTTCACTTAAATAAATGACATTGAGTCAATACCCACCCATATCCATCAATGTAGATATACATTATCACTTTTAATGGCTTCATAATTTCCATTCATTGCTCTAAAGAAATTTATTTAGCCAGTTTCCTGTGATGGACCTTTAGGTAGTTTTTAAAAGAGGTTTTTAAAAATGATTTTAAACAATGCTGAAGTAAACACCCTTTGTATATATGTCTTAACAGGCTTGTGTCATTATTTCCTTGAGATAATTTCGAGAGACCACTTTATAAAATATTCCTTACCCAATCTCTCAAAGAAGCTTTGTTGCTGGTTTCCTAGAAAGAAGCGTGTTCTCTCTCTCTTCCTCATGACACTGCTTTTCTCTCCCTAACAGCACTTAGTACAGTCATCTTTAAGCTTCGTTTCATACGTTCTCTCTTATCGCTCAACTGATAAGCTCTTGCTGTTAATGGGAGGGATTACATAGTAATTAATTAATTCAACAACATTTCCTGGGTATCTGTTCAGCAGTGGGCTCTGAACTAGTGCTGAGGTGAAGTGGACAATCACCCACCCTTGAGGAACCCCCATCTGTGAGATGGGAGACATGGATTACAGATACTACTGTGGCAGGTGATGCAGCAACAGCAGTTGTGTAATTTGCAAAAGAAGAAGTAGCCGTACAGTGAAGTCACTGAAAATGAGGTACCTCCTCTACATCTTGAAATATCAGTGGGAGTTCACTAGAGAACCAACGTGTAGCTAATGAGAACTGCCCTCAGAGCAAAAGGAGCAGCAAAAGGAAACACAGAGAGGTTTGGCATGATATTAGGAAGTTGTAGCATAGGTGAGAACATGGGGAGAGAGGAAACTAAAGAGGTGCCAGGAGGGGTGAGGGGAAGGAGGAAGGTGGGAGGCTGGAGGGAAAGTGTAGGCCCAAGTGAGCAGGTCTGGGAAGCCATGCTCACAGTTGGAATTCAGAGTGAGGATAATGAGAGACCACTGAAGGGTTTAAGCAGGGCAGTGACATGATTGGGTTTTGTGTTTTAGAAAGGTCATTCCAGCTATGATAGTATGGAAGATGGAATTCAGGAGGGTAAGACTTTAGATGGAGAAGCAAGTTAGGAAGCTATTGTACTACTCAAAGTGATAGGATAATGGCTTGAACCAAAGTAGTGGCAACAGAGAAAAGTAGATGGAATCAAGAGTTAGAAAGTAGAATCTACCAACTTCTTAACTTGTTGATAGGTTTACATACAGAAACACGAAATAGAGAAGTTCAGAATGATGCCCAGACTCTGCATGGAACCTTGTGAAGATGGCGGGCCACTTACTCGGAGAGGAACAAAGAATAAAAGGATGTTTTAGGGGAAAAAGGAGGACAAATTCATGTTTGCATAGTATGTTGAGTTTGATGTGGTGGTAGAATACAATGGTGGAAATGTCTAGCAGGCAGATGAATACATTATCTAGTATTCCCAAATTTTTCTTTAGGACCTCCCCTAAAGACCTGGAAAGACCTGTCCTAAAGAAAAATTTGGGAATCATATGATAATACTGAGTAAAAGTTTGCTGAATAAATGAATGAATTGACTCATTTTCAGCATCATGTTTCCTTCAACTAGAACATTTTACTTCTATAAAGCCACCTTCATACGAGAATTTCAAAGTTGTTTTTAAGACTAACCAACATGAATTAAAGTATCTTTTTAGAATTACTGTAGAGATAACAACTTAGGAACATGGTGAGTGCAAATGGCTCTCAGAGAGGAAAGAGTACCAGCCTAAGAGTCAGAAGATGAGTGAGTTGGAACTTGTCTACTATTGGTGGACACTGGTACATGCCACTCACCCCCTCCACCAAATATTCAAGTTCTCTGAATGCAAAGACAGGGGTTGCATTCCTGATGATCAATGCCTAACCCTGTGACAGGGAATGTGCAGGTGAAGCGGGACACTCCAGGTCTGCTCTTCTCTCTCGGCAGCTCCCTGCTGTTCTCAGATAAGGGCCACAGTCCCTCCCCACTGGGACTTGGCAGCACAACCTAGAACACAATCTGTTGGACAGAAGGCTGTGATTATTAATGAAAGCATTTCCTCTGTTACCTCACAGAACTAAGTGAGGTTCTAACACTGCCAAAGATGGCCCATTTCCTTTCATAGAAACCAATTCTCAGAAACACATAGGATGGTCAGAGACAGTACACATAGGGAAGTAAAAATAAGGTGCAGAAAAGTGGGTGGCTGCTTGAAACACTCCCAGATGAAAGGTTACCAGCTATTAATCAGCTCACACTTCTGTTCAGTGGGTGAGCAAGAAATTGGATGGAAACTTCACTCAATGGTTGATGCTTAGTTGGGGCTGTGAGGTCCTCAGATGACTTTCCTCAGTCAGGTCGGATATGATGCACTTTTATGTAAAGGAAGGAGAGTCAACAAGGCCACAGCAAAATTCCCTATGTTTCACAATTTGTGTACGTCTGTTTACATGTGCCAGGCTCGGTGCCATGTATTGAGGTTAGGATGACTCCTGCTGTCTAGGCCTGAATCTTGAACAGTCCCCCTCTCCATCATTTGGAGCAGCCCAGTTGGCTGGGTCCTGTGATGAGGATAATAATAGTTACTGTTTTTTGGACACCTGCCTCATGGAAGGCACTGTTGGAAAAAAGTCAGCATTATCTCATTTATCCTCACAACAACCCTTTGAGCAAATAACATTATTTTATTTGAAAAATGGGGAGATTGGGGTTCCAGTGGGCTAAGTAACTTATCAAAATTCACGCACCTTGTATTAAGCAGGAGCATCATTTGACCCTAAGACTGACTCCAGCACACACTTTTTTTCCCTACTACGCTAAGTCCAGATGAAAATAAAAGAGACATCAGAACCTGACAAAAAGAAGGAAACCCACAAAAAGGGATACAAGGGAAACTGAGTCTGAGTAGAAACTTTTCCAAAGTCATAGAATAGCACCTGGGTATCAAGTATGGCTTGGGTCTAAGTCATGTTTCCCAGGCACTCAGGAAATGTTCTTTGTGCCTTGGAAAGGAGGCAGATGGCAGTTGCATCTGACCCCCAAGGGTCAGATGCCATTTGATTATGCCATTTTGACCCTTTGCAGATCAGAGCCCCTGGACATCTGGCCCCCAAGTTTCTAAGTGGGTTTTAGCTTGAGACCACCTAGTGAAAGCCAAAGACCAATGTCCGCTGCCAGCACCCAGCCCAGAGTCAGGGATATACCATTTGGCCAAGGCTCCAGAGCCACTTCAGGCTCTCAGCACCTGCCCTGTAAAAAGACAGCTCAGGTGGAAACTTCACTGGGAGCAGCTGGGGCAGGCCTAAGGAGGGAGTCCACTCGTCACACCCTACTCACATGAGAAGACATGATTCTGAAGGGCTTAGGACCTTCAGCCTGTCTCAGTACCCAAGGATCACAGGCCTGGGCACTGCAGCAGGCATCAGTCTTATCGTTGAGACTTGGTAGCTAGGGCATGGCTAGGCCCTAACATACTAACTCGCTATGTTTTCTGGCATAAGTCCCCTAGCCTCCTTGGGCCTCCTCTAGAAAACAAAGGGGTTGGATCAGATGATTGATCCCTGGGGCCCACTTCTGCTTTCACCTTCAGGTGTTTACTATACTTTGGCAAACAGAACTCTTGTTACTCGCCCTAACATTGCCACTGCCACTGCTGTCAAAATATTTTCCCTCACTTATTATAGATTAAAAAAATATGTTTGCCTTATCTTGAGTCCCCAGGGATTCAGTCTGTGCCCCCTCCTGTTTCATGCTTATGGGGTGAAACCTCAACTATAATTCCAGGAGATTCAGGTTTTGAGGTAATGTCATCAGAGGATGCTGTAAGAAGGGATTTCTGTTCTTTCCAGAAGCTGCTTTTGTCCCCAGACACATCATGAAATGCCAGCTTGTGGTCCACACCCTCCCTGCCCGCTGGGAAATGCTGCTGGGGGCTTGTGAGTACTTGGCTTCTGGAGGACAAAGAAGAGGGGAACAGAAAGAGGCATAGTGTCAGATATTTGCCTTCATTATAAAAAAAAAAAAAACATACAATATGCTGGGCAATTTTAAGGCATGGTTTTCAAGGCTGTTTTTAACAGTCTCTGGAAACCAGCAATCCGGTGTCAGTTGTTTATAGGATCCAAGGGGGTGGTGCTGGGGGTTGTTTCAACATCCTTGCACAGAGAGAAACATGGGTAGTGGCTTACAAGCTTTGAGTGTTAGACACAGGGACAGCATGCTGTGGGGGTGGGGAGTGGGGGACACCCATCCAGGTGGGGGGATGGGCTTCTCATCCCAGCTCTGCCATCAGCTGCCCATGTGATCTGGGAAAATTCATCACCTTCCTGAGCCTCAAACTCTCCAACCTAAAACCAAAGGGCTTAAAGCAGAGGAGCCTACAGGCAAATCTTTTCAAGCTTTGGTCTTCCCTTGTGTGATCTTGGAATTCTTTTTTTCTTTTTTTTTTTTTTGAGGCAGAGTTTCACTCTTGTCACCCAGGCTGGAGTACAATGGTGCGATCTTGGCTCACTGCAACCTTCTCCACCTCCCTGGTTCAAGCAATTCTCCTGTCTCAGCCTCCCGAGTAGCTGGGATTACAGGTGCCCACCACCACACCTGGCTAATTTTTATATTTTCAGTAGAGACAGGGTTTCACCATGTTGGCCAGGCTGGTCTCAAACTCCTGACCTCAGGTGATCTGCCCACCTCAGCCTCCCAAAGCGCTGGGATTACAGGCATAAGCCACTGCACCCGGCCAATTTTGGAATTCTTAATGCTAGTCCCCAGTACAAGGATCTTGAAAGCACATCAGGAATGCCAGATGGGGTTAGTGAGGAATCAGGGAGACCTTGGGTTATGTCTGTGCTGGTTTGGGGTGTGCTTCTTAGATCATGTACTTCGATTTTTATTTATGCTTTCCAGCAGCATTTCCCAAGTTGACTCATGATCATATTCCCCTGAGTTGCTTTTTAAATGTACAGATTTCCCTGCAAGGGATCAACCCACTAAGCTGTATTTTTAAGGAAGAACCAAGGGTGATTCTTGTATTCAGACAAGTTTAGGAAAGACTGCTTAAGAGGTTTCACCTGGGGACCGGTGACAGGTGAAGGTGCCTGATTTGGTCAGTATTTGTCTGTTTGTCTATCCTCTGTGTTATGTAGCTCTCTACTATGAGTATTCATTTCATCATGCTTCATATTCCAAGACTTGTAAATGTCTCCTGCATCCAGGTCTGAGCCCTTTAAGATTGGTACCATGCTTTCTGTTTATATCCCACCTTACCTAGCACAGAGCTTTTCTCCTGGAAGATTCTTACAAACATCTGCCAAACTTAGTTGTGCAGAGAGTTTTCTGCCTGATTCCGTCAAGTTAATTATGCCATGGGTCATTATTAACCACAATATCAAATACAAGGAAAAGAGAGGAGTAGTAACAGTTGGCAGAGAAGTATCATGGAGAAAACAGGATTGGAATGGAGTCTTGCAGCAGGAGTAAGGTTTAGATAGATGGAGGAAAAAAGCACAAGGGGCATTCCAGGCAGAAGTCTAAGCATGAGAAGGCCAGTCTCTACAAAGGCAATTGTTTCAGGATATGAGTGAAGAGCCTAGGGCTCAAAGAAAAGATTTATTCAAGACTGACCTAAGTAATCTGTCACTGACCAGCCCATTGCAGCCTCTTTCCATACTTGCATTACATGCAGGTCTCCAACCTGAGCCCCTAAAGCCCTTTCTTCCTTTGCTCTCAGCCCTATTTCCAAGGTTGTTTTCCCACTGCTGTGTTTATCCTGCTATGTATTTGCACATGTGGTGGGACTGCTCCATTTCAGCCACTCAGTTTTTATTTAAATGAATCTTGCTAAGATTCAGCTAGGCTGATTGCTAGATTACCTGGGAGGAGCTGGATATGCAGTTCTGTGTGCCTCTTCATACTCAGCAGACCCTGGTATGTTCTGGAAGACTGGATTTAGATACAGTAGGTAAGAGACAGGCTGAGGGCAACACACACACACACACACACACACACACACACACACACACACACACATATATTTTGTTTCAATCCTCTTTAATACCCAAAGGGCTTATGGAAAAAAGATGCTCATGGGTGCTTCTTGGCTCCCTTGTAGGCCCTTTCCACATCCACGAAGTTCTCCTGGTCCTCTTCTAGGAGCATTCTTAAATCCTCTGCCTCTTCTGCTCTGGAACCTGCTATCAAGACAGGGTAGGAAATGGATGAGAGATGAGCGAAACTCAAGACAGGAAGACCAGTTGGGAGGTAGTTGCAGTATCTTTGAGATGATCCTGCAGGTGAGAGAAGATGATGGCCTCTATTAGGAAAGCAGTGGGGTGCGAGAGAACTGCATGCATTCTTTACTAAGCCCTTACTAGCTGGTTTAGCTAGGGTAAATTACTTAATCTCTCTGGCCTTCAAAGTTCTCATCAGTAAAAAGGAAACAATCATAATCTCTTTTTTACAGTTTTTAAAAATACTGTTTTTAATGCTGTAAAAAAGGGGTCAATAGTTTATATGGGTCAATGTTGTTGCACAAAAGCCTTTTGTAAATTAGTGTACAAAAGTGCCATCTTCTCTGGACATCATTTGCCATTAAGTGAAACTGTGCTTTCCTCCACAAGGGCTCTATCATTTGAAGTTCTCTTGTCCATCAAAGCCCTTCCACCAGTCCTGTTTTGTGCCTAGCACTGAACTTCTCTGTATGACAACACAAGCAGTGAGAAATTCTTTTGGTTTGGGGATGGGCTGGCTTTAATATTATAGCTTGAAATCCCAGCTTAAAAGTAATACACTCCGGTTTCTGTCCCCTCCCTTCTTCGGTAATAAACACTTAAATGCTGATGGGTTCTCAGGTCAAGAATCCACAGAGCCTGCATGTGTTGAGACAAGCCAATAGGAGGTCTGACTCATATTTTCATATTTACAAAACCTATGTGGGAAATCAGTGAATGGTAGAGTTGGAAAGGCCTTAAAGATCATCTGGTCCAACTCCTCATTTTTTAAATGGGGAAATGGAGTAACTAGGAAGGAAAGGATCTTGGCCAAGATCACAGAGTAAGTTAGAGACAGAGCCAGCCTGCTTCCCCCTCATATGGTGTAGCGGAATCTCTTTATTGGGAATGTGATAAAATGTACTGTTTGTACTCTTTCTGTTATGCTGGTCCCATAATGAAAGATACTGCTTGGCCCATATCACTGCAGCCCAGAGCAAAAGGACTATAGGTGGAGAGTATTAATCTAACTACACTTTCATTCATTTATCACACATTACTAAACACCACCTTTATGTCAGTTACTGAAGATACTGAGATAAAAGACATGGGTCCCACCTGCAAGGTATTCAATTTTAATGATGAAGACAATCTCCAGGAGGGCTGAATATTTTCCATGCAGTTAAATGAAATATTTCTCCCATCTGCCAACTGCATTTTATATTTATACTTGTGAATGCATTGACTCTCCTTATATATAGATTATGAGACATTTTCTCAGAAAAAAAATACCAAATATCTCAGACCCCTTATTTATTCATGTCCTCAAGAAATATTATTTGAGCACCTAATAGGAGTTACCAAGAGGCAAAAATAAATAAATAATAGTCCTCTCTCTCAAGAAACCATAATAACAATCCAGTAGAGAAATACATAATGATCATGGAAGCTTTTACAAGGAAAGGGAGATACCTAAGAGAATGGGTGCCTAAGTTTGCCATGGAGAGTCCACGAAGGTTTCATGGAGGAGGTGGTGTGTAAATTGAGACTATTTAAAGAAGGGGAAGAAGTCTGTTGAGCAGAAAATGGGGGGAAGTCATTCTAGGAGAAGAGAACAGCATATGCAGAGCCATGGAAGTGTGGAAGCATGCAATCCTGGAATCTATAATAGTTTATAATCACTGACACATGAGAAAAGACAGATTGGCAGAAAACGAGGATATAAGTAGGCAGGACCTGAGCCACGCTAAGGAGATGAGGTTGCATCATGGAGACTAAGGAGAAGTACAGAGGCTTTTAGAGAGTAGATCAATGAGGTTTGTATTCTGGAAATTCACTCAGGCAGCTGTGCAGAAGGAGAGTGGTTGGAGTCAGGTAGCCCAGTGGGGAGGCCAATCTTTAATCAAGGCAAGATCTGATGAGGCCTATGAGGGCAGTGGCAATGCCATTCTGAGCCAGGCCAGAACCTGACTTTCTGTGTGATTCAACCATTGCCCAACACACCTGAGTGATGGTGCAGACCCATACAAGAAGCATGAAGTTATGCACTTGAGTCTCCAAACTGTGATTCACAGTCCTGACAATATTTCCTGTGTGTGTAAGAGACCACCCTCTCCAAAGTCAACTGGAACAGTTTAAGACATCACAAGTGACCCATGGAGAAGCCAAGCTTCCTTGCCTAACAAAGAAGCTGATACGTTGTTGAACTTCTAAAGGCACTTGGGGGAGGTGGTTTTTAATACAAAGTCACTTCTGAGCTTGTGGTTTGGTAAATTTAAGTCTTTTCCAAACAAGGCAGCCAGGCTGGCAAAGTGATCCTTTTTCATCCCCTCTAGGCACTGATTCAGTTCTCTGAAGCCTCCCTGCTTTCGCTCTTCCTGTTCCTTCTCCTGAAATGTCTTTCATCCACCAGTCTATGATTGGACATTGGAGTCCTATAGATCCAGGTTCAAATTCTAGCTCCGCCATGCATTAATTGTATGCTCTTATACAAGTTACCATAAGCGTTCTGAGCCCCAGGGAGCTCCCCTAATCCTGATTGCTCGGTGATTGCTGAGCAGGAGATGAAATTTGTGAGGTGTTCCATTAAGTGCCTTCTCCATCGCCAGCACTCAATATTAAATAGCTATTTTTCTTAGGTGAGATTCTAGTTTAAGAATGAAGGTTTGTAATTCTCTACCAAAAAACCAAAGTAAAGTACTGAAAGGTTTCACAATAATACATCTTTTGATTTTCAGGATAACCATGAATTAGAGTTTTCTTACTCACATTAATTAAACCTGACACCTGAGTACCCACTTGATTTCCACACCCAGCTGTGGAATTCCACAGTAACTTATAATTAATAGACAGTTGCTTATAAGAGATTTGGAACTTGAATTCAGAGCAAAAATAAGTAGAGAAGCCCCATGACAAAGGGAAGAGTTGCTGATACTGGGCCCTTTTCTCATGCTGACGAGTTTGGAGGGTAAATGGCCATCTTAATGGTATCATCTGACTGCATTTTGTGCTGCCGAGATTGTGCTGAGTGGAAATTTCCCTGGAAGTAGCAAGAGTGGCTTAGTTTCATTACAGTGAAAGAATTGGCCAATGTTGGGGCAGGTTACTGACAATGGGTGTGGAATCTGTTTTAGGAGAAGTTAAAAAATCATGACAATAAAGTATGTGATGAGATTACCCCTTCCAGGCTATTGCAAGTGTAGACATGCCTGCAGCTTGAAAGAGAGTTTGTCTCAAGCACAGTGAAGGACTAGGTTCACTTGGTTAATTCTTCAACCCTAACTCAGTATCTTTTAACTGAATTTGAAAGATCATCTGGCACTTTCCAGATTCTGGAAATTTTCCAATTTTCAAGTTTAACTTGACTTTTTAAATCAATCTGGGGTTAATTTATGTGTTAATTCTTTTATTATTATTATTAGCAATAGTCTTATTATTATTTATTATAAAGCAACTTTAAAGGGAAAATTTTAAAATTATCTTTAATTTTCCTGCAGTTATTTTAATTTTGGAATTTTTTTTGGCCTTTGTTTACCTACTTACTTGTTAATCAGCCATCACAATGAATCTGAAAGAGCTTCATTATTATGTCTGCTTTATTAATGAATAAGTTGAAGATAATGCAGTTAATTAACGTTGCCCTAAGTAACACATGTAGTAATTGGCCAAATCAGGAAGAAAAATCAGGAATTATCTCAAGCCTGCTCTGTCTCCCTACTCCCTGCTGTGATGTTGGCCACACAACCTGGTGCTTAATGGATATAGGTAACATTATCTTATGCACTATTACTTTAACTCAAAATCAGAAATAATAGCAGTCTGGAATAATATCAACAAAAACTCCCCAACCAATCCCTAGAAGAAAACCATTAAGATTTTGTCAACTCTGAAGACAATGTTGTACGAACTTTCTAATTATGAGAGGAGAAATAGAGAATTAGTGTGACTAATAGAAATAGCTGTTTTTATTGGGGAAAAAAGCTCCAACTTGAACCAGACCAACTGAGACTCCTTAATATTGCTGATTGGATATTCCAAGCCACTTACTGATCATTTAGTTATAAAGTCTTCTCATTGTTCTTGTCAGTAATCCCACTGAGTATCCCATTAAACTAAATGTAGAGTTAAACACCTGGGAGGCAAGTGTTAATAAAGTGTAATTTGTAGAAGGAAAAGAAAAACAACTTCTATATGCTTACTATGAATAGCATAAAAAGGGATGGTTGCCTTCCATTTGGGAGTCAACACCATATGAAAGATGACACAATGAGGTAAAGAGTGAATGCTACAGCCCTTGGAACTGTCAGAAGAGTCTATTTCACTCATATATTTTTCTAGAATACCAAGTAGAAGGAGGCAGACTTGGGAAGATATGCATCAGCCACACTGGAGGGAGTTCCGACCATGGGACTGCTCAGAACTCTAGCTTGGCTCCTAACCAAGTTTGAAATGATCACAGCCACAGCGCTAATTGAATTAATTTGCTTTTCTTCAGGCAGGATGGGGAAGCAGAATAGCAAACTGGCCCCTGAAGTGATGGAGGACCTGGTGAAGAGCACAGAGTTTAATGAGCATGAACTCAAGCAGTGGTACAAAGGATTTCTCAAGGACTGTCCAAGTGGGAGGCTAAATCTCGAGGAATTTCAGCAGCTCTATGTGAAGGTAAGTTGTTTTTCAACCTTGTTTTTATTCCTTAGGCCAGAAACTATGGCCTTCATGAAATTGTACCCTCACATGGAATTATAACTCTAAGTAGCTAGTTTGTTTCAACTCTGGCTGTTTTCCATCCAGAAAGAAAAATTAACATTTAAAAATGCAAATGTATATATGTTGTTCCCAAAATAAGCAATTTCTGAACAAAAAGAGTAATTGTTAAATCAAAGCACTGAATAGAGCTCAAGGAATGACAGCATCTGGTGAAAGAACCATAAAAAGCTCAGAGAAGAGTGTTTGCTGATAATTATTGACAGTTTGCTAATTACAGCATTATTTGGCCTGTTAAAGGTATATGTACTTCTCCCAGTTAAAGAAAAAGTACACAAGAGGGCTTTTTCTCTCTCTCTCTCTTTTTTTTTTTTTTTTTTTTTTTTTTTTTTTTTTTTTTTACCAGAAAAGATACTCCTGTATCCAGATAAGAACCCAGATTCCCACAACAGAACATTTAGAAAAGGGGTGGGGGAGTGTAGCGTATCTCTGGTCAGCAATGTCTACAACATAGACAATAACTCAACACTGTACACTACTCAGAAGCTAAACTTTCCCTGAACATTACACAGAACAGTCCCATAAAAGGTACAATTTCTACTGCAGTGGTATTGTTTTGGCTTGTCTGAGTCTACAAGTTGTATTGGTTCTAGATTGGGCTGATCTAAGACATTCCACTTCGTGTATACTTATGTAATGTTACACAAGTGAAAGAAATACATTTTTAAAACTTTTTCTGATTAAAATACCAAATAGAAAAATATTGCTTTATATCATTTAATTAGCAAATGTTGATTTGAGCAATATTGAATCACCCAGATGTATATATGTGTATGTGAAATGATTGAATAAAATATTAAGCATTATCATTATGTGCTGAAGCTGAACATTTTCTATAACCTATGATCCAGCAATTCCATTCTTGTACTGTACAAGAAGGGGCATGTGTAAGAATACTCATAGCTGCACTATTCACAATGGTAAAACTGGGAAACAACCCAAGTGCCCATCAAAGGGAAAGTGGAAAATAAACAGTGGTATATTTGAACAATATAACATTATATAGCAGTCAAAATACTTGAACTGTAACAACACTAAGATATTAAAAAAGCAAGTCTCAAAAGATTCTAAAGGAAATAGAAATTTTTAAAAATGTGTTTTATAGGATTACCAATAAATGCAATAAAATCATATAAAAAGAAAAGCAGGGAAGTGATGAACCCAAGATTCAAACGAAAAGTTACTTCAAGTGGGGAAGACCAAGGGATGAAATTGGGGGTATGGCCATGTGGTTAGATATATATTGTGTTCAAAGTCATAACTGTTGCAAGTGTTTATTGCATCATTAAAAGCTCACTAATCAACAGAATAAGTAGTGTGCATTTTATACGATCACTGTGACATTTCTAAGAAGATCTGGGTAATCAATTATTAGCATGCCAAGATCTTTTCTATAGAAGTGCTGAGAAAGTGCATCTATTACTCAATTGATGTCTATTGCTTTTGCAGAGAAGTGGGATAGTATGTATTTCCTAGATAACCATACTACTCTCCCTAGTTTTCAATGTCATGTCTTCTATTTTATCACCTAGGGGCTAGTCCATGCCTTGGAACTCTCTCTATTCTCAACCACAAAGAAAGTACAGACAAACAAGGTTTTTCAAAGTCACTTTCATATCACTAAAGGCCATGCAAGCTGTCACCCTATGATTAAGAGAGCACCGTGTGCCACGTTCCTCACTATTTGTTTAAAATGAGAGGGGTATTGCCTTTGAAGAAATAGTTGAAATGCAGGAAATGAGGTATTTTATTTACACACTGGAAGTATGTAGCACTGAAAAAGCACCAGCCTCAAGGTGAGGGGTCATGTAAACATTAAGCATGCCTTGGCGTTTTATGGTACAACTGATATATATGCACCAAAATCATCTCCCACCTCCCCATCTCACTCCTAGAGTGGGTTTTTTATTCCAGGAGGGGAATATATGACTTTCTGAACTTAGGTCTATATTTTTGGCAAACTCTTATTCCAACTCTGCCTGTACTCTTATATCAAATAGAAAGCAGGCAGTCTTTTTCTCCTTCTAGAGTTGTCCAAGGACAGAAAAAAACCGCAGCAGAAATATGCCACGTACACAGAAAAAAGAAAGGCGGATCTGATAAGCTGGAAAGGAGAAGCCTGGAAAAAGATGTGGATTATGTAATAGGCCCAGAAGATGGGCTGATGAGAAAAAGCTTCTTTTAATGTTTCTGGAAAAAAATGCAAATATTCAGCAAGACACGGTCATTATCCTGGTGAATGGGCACATTCAGTGATTCCTTCTATCTTTGGTGCAGAGATTGAGGCATCTTGGGATGCAACTGAGGGAGCAAAGCTGACTGCAGCCTCTGCCCTCCTGTGTGTGCAGTCAACCTGGCACATCCCCTCTTGCTACCAGACCCGTTTCCCTTTCCAGGAGGAAGTCAACTCGGTTGCTAAAAAACAAGTTCTGATGAGTGTTTAAGGAGGAGCAGGATAATGGGAGTGGCTCCGCTGCAAGGCCAGGGGCCACAGTCTCCCAACTTTAAAAGCCCTTGCATTCCAAATGTGAAGGAACTCCTTCAGCAGATATATTTTTAAAAGCATTTAAAACTGAGGTTTAGAGAAATGAGGCAATTTGCCCAGCAACACAAACTGAATGTGGAACAGACTTCAAAGACAGGAATGCTGACTCCCACTGCAGCACATAGCTCTGCCTCTCAGCCAAACTCCCAGGGCAGCTCCTCATTAACACCCTCCAGCCCATCCACCATACAGCTGCTGGAGTGAGATTTGTAAAACACAGATCTGAACATGGTCCCTCCCAGCTAGATGCAGGCTTCACTCTTTAGTCATGAAGACACAGTCACCTCATTTCAATCAATGTTAAGACCCAGCGGCTAGCACAGGGCCTGCCACGGAGCAAGTGTGGGTAAGCATTTCTTGCCTGAATGTAATAAGTGCTGGCTGTACATCTCCTTCTTAGGCAGCCTTGTGATGGAGGCATATAAAAGTGACTATGGGACAGTCCTGCCTGCCCTCCCGAATTTCACAGGCAAGTTGGGAAGATGTGATTCACCACAATGTAATGTGTAATGACAGAAATGTTTGGTGGTAGGGCAAGAGTAGAAAGCAGAGAGGTTGATTTCAAAATGGAATATTAAAACAAGAAGTTAATTAATGCAGTGATGAGAGGAAGACTTTTCTATTAACCTTTTAGAAAACAAAATTGTCCCCTAGCAGATAGCTCTTTCCCTTTTCAAGCTTGCTGCCTGTTATCAGCTGAATAATATTCCCCCAAATTCATATGTTGAAGTCCTAACACCCAGTACCTCAGAATGGGACTGTATTTGCAGACAGATCCTTTACAGAGGTAATAAAGTTAAATGAGGTCATGAGAGTGGGCCCTAATCCAGTGTGACGTGTCTTTAGGAGAGGAAATTTGGACACAGAGACATACATAGGAAAGGCCACGGGAAGGCACAGGGAGAAGATGGCTGTCATCTACCAGCCAGGGAGAGAAGCTACATTTATTGGTAATCCTATAAAGTGCATTCTTTAAAATTTGTATTTACTTTAGAATCTTTTGAGACTTGCTTTTTTAATGTCTTATTGTTGCTACAGTTCAAGTATTTTGACTGCTGTATAACGTTATATTGTTCAAATATACCACTGTTTATTTTCCACTTTCCCTTTGATGGGCACTACTTGGGTTGTCAACACATTCTCTTGGACTTCCAGCTTCCAGAACTGTGAGAAAATAAATATCTTGATTTAAGCCCCCCAGTCTGTGGTGCTTTGTTATGGCAGCCTGAGCAAATGAATATAATTCTTATTCCTTCTCTGTTGTCACATGCGTTCTCTGTGCCCTCTACATCTGATAGAAAGATGCCTTCTGTCCCAGATGTCTGGAACTCCCTGGACACGTAGGGATTTCTGTGTGTCTGGCCACAGAAGTCATAGCAGATGTTTCATCATCCCCACCACAGCACTGCTGCTGATAGGTTGGGAAGAAAGCGTTTGAATTTTGTCACCAAGAACCAAGTACCTGATCACCCCCCAAGGGAATTTCCTATTTTCAACAATCATTTTGATTGCCAATCCATCACAAATTAAGATGGGCAGTTTGCAATTTTAACTGTATTTTCACAGAATTGGCCACGGTTTAATGAGAAAATCAACCCAGGGGAAGAGCAAGCAAGTGTGTAGGGAAGAAGTGTCTCCATCCCAGGGTCCTCTACCTTGGAGAGTTGGTGCCATTGCTATTTTGCTTAGCCACTGTGACATCAAAGCCAAAGAAATCAAGAAACAAACCTAGAGGAATCCTGCAAAGAGCCCTAAGTGGATTTTAATTTATGTTTAGAGTTTGACTTTCAAGATTATTTTCATCAGGAAACATTTGGGTTGGTTTAGGTTCAGTTGAAAAGGCAGTCACAGAGTTGTTTAAAAAAAATGGGATTTGGAATCTGACAGATGTGAGAGTCATTCCTAGCTGTGTTACATTTACCAAATCTCTGCCAGTTTGAATTTGTTTCCCTGTCTATAAGGTGGAAATAATAAGACCCGTTTTATCACCTCACATAGCGGAGTCTTAAAGGAAAGAAGGGAAATGAAAACTATTTATGACATATCAAAAGTTGTGTTTGCTGTCCTGATTGACGATCCTCTCATTTACACTTACACAGCCAGGATGAAAATAAGTTTCATTTCACAGGCCACGTACGATGGCAGCACCAAATGGTGCACAGAGGAGGGTGAGAGACTCTATGAAATTTCAACAGGAAAATGTGCCCTAGTCAAATAGTGATGTCTACCGTGTATTCTTGTGGGTTTGGGGGCAGTGGTCATGGCAGGACATACTATGAGGCAGTGTCATCCCTATTCCCATCCTGGATTCTTAGACACCGAACTCTGTGTCCCCTAAGCACAAACCCTTCCCCAGCTCCCGCTGCCAGATAGGATGAAGATGGCACTTAAGGCCTTCTTTACCATTTCCTACCAATCTCTCAATGTCCTGACCCTCATGCCCCTCCTCCAGAAAGGAGACTTCCTTCCTCAATTCTACTGCTTATTATTTTGCAGATGAGGGGAGAGGTCCTCAGAGGCCACTGAGTACCCAAGGGTTGTTCTATTGGGCTCTGGCCCACCTCTCCTGAGCCTCAGCTTGTGCCATTGCTCCAAATTTTCTTCTTAGAAAAGTCTTAGGCCACTGACAGGTGCACCTGAGACAGGTGAGAGAGCCCTAGAGTCCAATTTGATCATCATTGATTTAACAGTTTGAATTTTAATAAAATATATTTGCATATAACAAGAGTTCCTACCAAGTCATTCCCTGTCCCTCTAGGTGGTCATTTCCTGAGGAGTTTCTGTATTTTGCTCATTAGAAAACATGCTTCCAGCTTTTCTAGCTAAGAGCAGGCTTATCCATTGGTTCATTCATTCACTTGAGACCCATTTTCTCTGTGCTTTCTGTGGGACAGACAGTTTATTGGGCATTGCCTTCAATTGCCCTGAGCAAGCTCAGAGCCTGGAGGAATTGGTGTATCATCTTATTTTTGAGTAATGCTTTTCACTTCACCAAACCATCTTTATTTTTACAACAAAATATACTGGTGGAATTCCCTTCAATGAGAAATTTTCCAGGCCTAAGGCATTGAAAATACAAATTTACTCACCAAAATTTTGTTGATACAACTACCCAGGAATATGTACTAAAACAAAATAAGAATAAATGTTATTATAGGACCAGCACCTAAATATTTGATGGTAAAAATCTTTTAATAGAATAAGAAATATTTTTCTAGTTAATAGATATTATGAAAACATTCTGTAATTCTCTGTGTGGTTTTAGAATTCTACTTCTAAATTGTGCCCCTGGGCTTAAAAACCTACTACGTGGAATAAAAGGCATTCTTCCTAAAGTTGTACACAAACATATAATAATTATAGGATTTTAGGTGCATAACCTCTGTCTTATAGAATATGAAATAAAATATATAATCAAGGTCTGCACTGTTTGCTGTGGGATTTGAACAAGTGCCTTTGTTTTTCTGGTTCTAAGTTCAGCATCTGTGCAAATGAAAACATTGGTCTATGTAGGTGGCTTTCAAACTGTAACGCATCTCAGAATCACTTGGGTTGACTGCTCAGTTGGCAGATTGCTAGGCCCCTTCCTCAGGTTGCTAGTTCACTGGAATTAGAGACCCAATATCTGTATTCTTAGTAAGACCTGCCAGGTGGTTCTAAAGGACAAAATCTATAAGTGACATTTTGAAAAACACTAATCTAGGTCTTAACCTGGAAGTATGTTTAAATAGGCTTCAGGAGTTCTGCCCACACTGAAGTCGCAAGTAAAATTTTATATATAAACTCTCTTGGGGTAGCTTTAATCAGATTCATTGAGGATTCTGTAGTCCCAAGAAAGGATAAGAGTCACTAAAAGTGTTTCTAACCATTGGCAGACGTAACATTCTAGGTTCCATAACAGTGGTTATTGAGTCTTAATTGGCACTAAGACAAATGCAGCAAAATCCCCTTCTAAGTTATACTTTCAAACAAACTTCACTGGCATAAGAATACAAATAAAAGCTTCCAGGCTTTGTTTTGTTAAATTGGTTTTTACTATGTAGATGATGTTTGACTGATTCATTTATGGCCCACCAATCAAGCTTTATTTTGTCTATAGCTCCACGCTAATGCAGAGGGAGTCTCCAGTGGGATAAAACGCAGCCCCTGCTTTGCAGTCCTCCTGAGCACTTCTATGTGCCAGGGGCTGTGTAGGCCCTGGGTCTGCAGAGGAAAACACCACAAATCCCTGCCTAGGTGACTATGGTCTGGTGCCATCCAGAAACCTATAGTGAAGATAGGGTAAAAAAATACATATATGAACAGCTATCACACTGGGTTGATTGTGATCAGGAACAGGAAAGACAAGGAAGGGCCTGGAGGGTCAGAGAGGGCTGGTTAGGAAGGTGACATTCAAGCTAATCCACAAAAGAAGGTGAATTTGAACATGAGGACCCATCAGTCTGTCTAGAAACTAAAAAATCTCATTGACTAAGACAATAAAAATTTGAATTTAAAAATGATTATTGTGTTTTTGAGCCCCTGTTCCTATTGTGTTGGCTGGAGGCCCACTGGGTCAAGTATGTTAGGTTGAAACAAAAATTCAAAAATCAAAAATAATCAAAAACGTCTTGGCAGCCTTGCTGAGATCAACAACCTGAAAACAATCTGTGGAAGAAAAAGCTTGAATACTTCTGGGGCTTCTGCCATAGGTCTCTCCCTTGTTTCTCACTCCCTCTTTTCTCTCTTGTTCTCTCTCTCTTGTCTTCTTTATTCCCTTCCTTTCCAATTATTCTAACCCCTGTCAGTCTGACCAGTGGCTTACTTGATTTCACCAAGGCCTATGAAATCGATCTTAGAGATAGCATTTCCTTCACTTTAAGCCATAGAGGTTGGGAAGTCAGGAGACTTGGCTGAGGTTACAAAGTGGTGAGTGGAGACAAACACCTGAGTCACTCAGCCCAGCCTTCTTGCCACCTTTTCATGCTTCCTGTGTCCTGGGAGTCACATTCAGGAGCAGGCATCTGGGAGGTTCTCCAGTTTATCTTGTGGTAGAGCAGAATGCACATCATGTTGCTCCATCCTAGCCATCTTTCCAGGATCAGTTCAAAAGCTTCTCCCTGGGAAATCATTTCTTGACCTCTCCAATTCCCAAAGCCAAAAGAGTCTCTTCCCTCTGTGTTCCCAAGACTTTGGTGTGCATCTGTCCCAACTTTTAGCAAGGACATTCTGTTCTGCAACCTGAATACAGGTAAATGCAGTGTGATTTTAATTAGAAGCCTGGATGTGCACCTGGTTCTGCCATACACTAGCAGTGTGAATATGGGAAAGTCCTTTATGCTTAAGGTTTGTTAAATAAATCCACAGACCACTCTGCCCCTCAGTTTTCTCACCTGTCAAATGAGAATAACACTCTGGGCCTTGCTTATTTCGTGGGCTCTTGTTGAGATAGGAGGGTGGTGAGAGCAAAAGTGCTTCATAAGCATTGAATCATCTTGCACAGGTGAGGCTTATCAGTGACTTGGTGTTAGGTACCTCAGCATGGGAGGATATCCAGATGCCAAATAGTCCAGTTTATTGGGCTGTGGCATCAAGAATTTTCTCTCATCAGATATTTTATCAAAAGAAAATGTGACAGAGATGACTACTGCCTCTTCTCAACATCTGATTCAAATAATTTTGAATATAAAACATTTCAAAAAAGATTTGGGGATGACCAGTTTTTAGGGATTCAGATTCTGTTTGTTACTAAGATGTGGTTAGGAGCAGACTTTATTAAAAATTCATTGGGCAGAGCTGTATATAGAAGGGTTTTAATTCCTTAAGGAATAGACATTACATGAAATACATAATGTCATCCAGACAGGGCTAGTGAGGATGTTGCAATTTTTAGCATGTATTTCCACTTGGAATGTTTGCCAATATGATTGAGGCTGCATTCAACTTGAATTAATGGGGAAGACAAGAGCTGGGGTCTGAAATCTCAAGGAAAAGACAATAATAATCTAGAGTTCTGAGAAAACAAGGTCCCATGTGAGGCTCCAACAGTATTTTATTATGGTGATATTGTCTCAGGGAATAGCTAGCTACCAGCATTAGAGACAGCAATTACCCCACAGGGGTCAAAATGATAACCTTCCCCTGTCTCCAAGGGTGTGAAGTTATTTTGGATGGCTTCCACACCTTGGGATTTTGCTTTCCCATGGTAGGGCAGGTGTCATTTAGAGAGATATCAGTGGTTATTGTGACTGTGGCATCCTGAAGGAATTGCTCTTAGATGGCACCTCAACCTCTCTGCCCTCAGGATAAGGTTGGAAAGAGCCCTTTAGAAGTCTCTCAGTCCACTCCCTCCCCCATTTTACAAATAAGGACATTGAAGCCCTTGAATGAGGGTTTAAAGCTAGAAGGATGTGCTGTCCCGTTAGTAATTCTCTGCAGCAGATTGCTCAAGGACACTCCATTTCTAATTGCAATAGAAGAAATGTCAAAGCAGCCAGGCATGGTGGCTCACACCTGTAATCCCAGCACTTTGGGAGGCCTAGGTGGGTGGATCACCTGAAGTCAGGAGTTTGAGACCAGCCTGGCCAACATGGTGAAACTCTGTCTCTATTAAAAACACAAAAATCAGCCAGGTATCATGGTGCATGTCTGTAATCCCAACTACTGGGGAGGCTGAGGCAGAAGAATTGCTTAAACCTAGGAGGCAGCAGTTGCAGTGAGCCAAGATCACGCCATTGCACTCCAGCCTGTACGACAGAGTGAGACTCCATCTCAAAAAAATAAATAAATAGGCCAGGCATGGTGGCTCATGCCTGTAATCCCAGCACTTTGGGAGGCCGAGATGGGCGAATCACATGAGGTCTGGAGTTCGAGACCAGCCTGGCCAACATGGAGAAACCCCGTCTCTACTAGAAATACAAAAATTAGCTGGGTGTGGTGGCATGCACCTGTAGTCCCAGCTACTCGGGAGGCTGAGGGCACAAGAATTGCTTGAACCCGGGAGGCAGAGGTTGCAGTGAGCCGAGATTGTGCCACCGCACTCCAGCCTGAATGACAGAGCGAGACTCCACCTAAAAAAAGTAAAAGAAAAAAAAGAGGAAGAATTAGCACATTTCTATTACAGAATTGGACTTGAACATGCAAAATCATGTCTGGATTTCTCAGTGAAAAGCTGTTTTACGTTAGTGGACTCTTCTAACATTTTGAAATGGTGATCTGGATTTGGGATCTGGCTATCACTGACCCACCTTGGGTCTGTGAATGACCAACTCACCTAGGTGGGAGTCAGTTACCCCTGCCCTCCAGTGGCCCATGGAGCACCTGCGGGAAGAAGGCTTTCTGTCTTACTGATTCTTCCATCTTTGGTGTCCAATTGGAAGGATTCCTGGGCCATTGACTGTTTCTCTCTGAGGGTTGTTATGAAGCTTGTGGCTCCATTCTCATGACTACTGTGATATTTCTGTGAATCTGACCCTGCCCTGAACTCCAGGTCAGCTTCTCCCCTCACAGGTGAAATCCAGTCCTATTATAACTGGGGGAGTGATAGACAGATTTTGGGCTATTTTACGACCAACTTTCCCTGTCTAAAATGTCAAAGCAGCCGGGTGTGGTGGCTCACGCCTGTAATCCCAGCACTTTGGGATGCCGAGGCGGGTGGATCACCTGAGGCCAGGAGTTTGAGACCAGCCTGGCCAACACGGCGAAACTCTGTCTCTACTAAAGATATAAAAATTAGCCAGGTATGGTGCATGCCTGTAATCCCAGCTACTGGGGAGGCTGAGGCAGGAGAATTGCTTAAACCTAGGAGGCGGCAGTTGCATTGAGCCAAGATCACGCCATTGCACCCCAAGCTGGAAGACAGAGTAAGACTCCATCTCAAAAACATAAATATAAAATAAAATAAAATAAAAAAATAAAATAAAATAAAATAAAATGTCAAAGGGAGGAATCCCTTTGTAGTAATAGAGAAGCTATTAGTTGTCGTCCACCTTCAACAAACAACTATAGAATGGCGTCTAAAAGGAGTCTGTAGCCAAGAGCTATGGAGTGTGTGGAATTTGAGTCAGACTCTTACCCTACTCTAAGGGCCTCACAGCCTAGGAGAAACTCTTAACAATCTGTGTAAATAGCTAGAAGAGATACAAAGTAACGTTTGCCCCAACATAGGTGCAGATTTTCTAGCCTAAGAAGTTTCTGTATAAATAACTTCACTGAAGATTTCAAGACACCTTGAAATTTAGGTAGATTTGTAGCTGCAAGGATGTCATTCCTAACAGAGAGACAACCTAAGAAAGGGCACAAGGGCAGAGTCTCAGTTCATTTGAGCTGCTGTAACAAAACACCATAAACCAAGTAGTGATAAACAACAGAAATACACTTCTCACAGTTCTTGATGCTGGCAAGTCCAAGACCAGGGCAGATTCAGTGTCTGCTGAGGGCCCCCTCTCTGGTTCATAAATGACTCTTTCTTGCTGTGTCCTCACATGGTGAAAGAGGCCAGTGAGCTCTCCGAGGCCTCTTTTATAAGGGCACTAATCCCATTCATGAGGGTTGCACCTAGTCCCCTCCCAAAGAACCTATCTCCTAAGAACATCACCTTGGGGATTAGGTTTCAACATGTGAATGTTGCAGGGGACACAAACATTCAGACTCTATCAGGCAGGAAGACAGGGGGATGATGTGGGAAATAGCAAGGAGTTCTGTTGGCTGAAATGTCAGGTAACCAAAGAAGTATCAGGGGGAAAGTGAGATGAAGATATGGGTAGAGCCAGGTCACAGAGGGCATCAAATGTCACAAAAGTCCTAAGGTCCTGAATGTGGTATACAAGGCGATCAGATGGTTTTCTGCATAGACAACTAATCCACAAACTGCCAAACGTGTTAGAGGACAATGGAAATTCTGGTGGCCTGGGGTTGTATTCTTAAAACAACATGATGGACAATACCAAGAAGGAAAAGTTAATTTTCATTTTTCCTCATAAATGTCCCAGTGACTCAAGGGATGAAGATACAGGAGCTTGCATTGTGCCTTCAGGAGAATGACTTAGAGCCCAAGATGACTCAAGTTACTCATGAAGAATTTATTGTCTGTACCTTGTGTGTACAGTACTAGACTCAACACCAGGGGGGTCAGCAGGTAGGACATCCATGGATATCCCAGGCCATCTGGGAAGATAAAGCCTTCAAAACTGGCAACTGCAGCAACAGCCCAAGAGCTAAGTGTGGGTGTAGGTGAGCTGCGGCCTTGGGAGCTCAAAGAACAGGAAGGGAGAGAGCAGGTTGAGGGCGTCCAGCAGGGCAGAGGGTGTGGTGCAGGAGCTGAAGCTGACATCCAGAAAGGACTTAGACAAACAGGGAGGGTAAAAACACTCCTTGCACTGAGCAGGTGATGAGCAGGGGAGCAGAGGAGCAGGCGGTGGGCAGGGCCTTGATCCTGGAATGCCAGGCCCCTCCCTGCTCAGGGGCATGTTGGGATTTCCCTCATGTGGTCTGTCTGCTTAGTCAGCCTTTATCGGCAGAGGCCGACCCCAGCCCACCAGCCTAGTCTTGTGGTGTCATCCCAGCCAGAGCTGGCAGTACAGATCCCAGCCAGAGCTGCCTGCCCTGAGCCCTCCACTTGCTTAGGGAGGAGGCCCTTCCTTGGCCTTTGTTTCTGCCACTTTCCGCAGAGAGAAGCTGGTGATGACTTGCTGAGTAAAAAGTGGATTGACCAACTTTCCGGGTAAAAACAGTAACACGGTGTTCCCGTGAGAACCAGCTGGGCCTGGCTGCTACAGGTGGCCCCTGGGGTCAGATCCCCAATATTGTAGGTGAAATACCTTCAGTCTGAAATAAAGAAGCATACTCAAAACATTTTGGTCTGAAAGCAAAGACAAATGGGTTGTTTTATCAGTGTGGCTCACAGTGTTTTTAGGGACCAGTGCAAGATGGTTGTTGTCCTATGTTTGTTCATTTGGGTGGTTTCTTTTTTTCTCCTGTATATTTTTTATTACTAAATGGCACAAAGATGTGTGGTGAAGCTATACATACTATCATTTTGGGCTTGGTTCTCTCTATCCGAGGCAGAGACAACAGCTTGGAATACGTGTTAAGTAATAGCTGAAAAGGCAGCTGCTCTGTGGAGAGAGTAGCCCTGGAGTAAGACACAGGGTTCTTACAGGGTTTGAATCCAGGTTCTGCCCCTTGGGAGCTGTGAGTTTTAGGGCAATGGCCTTCACTTCCCTCATTTTAGATTCTGCAGCTGCCCAATGGCTCTTCATATCTACTTTACAAGTGTCTGCTATTCAACTGCTCAATAAATGGTAAAGGTCACTCTAATTATGACTGGGGATAGAGTATGGGGTTGAGGAAGCTGGCACTGCTGTCTGATTATGCAGCAAAGATCCTTCTCTGCACAGCATCAAGTTAGGATCTGCTCCAGGGGACTATGCCCCCTTGGTGGTATGGAAACTGTCTTGGCCTCCAATCCATGTGAACCAGCCTTCCCAGCCTTCCCCAGAACCCCTACAAGGCTGACCCAGTCACCACTGCTTCTATGTGAAAAAAAGTTTAAGGAGGAAGTGAAAAGGCTGTCCCTGGTGCAGGCACCAGGGAATCCTCCCAGCGACTCGGCGGGTAAGCCAGCAGAGGAGGAAACCTTCTGCTCCTTGAGCCCCTCCGCAGCAGCTGGTAACAGCCTTGAAGGTATTACACTGATGCAAGAGAAAGGCTCTCGGAGAATACAATTTTCCCTCAACAAAACAACCCAGGCAGAGTGTTAGGGGCATGTGCAGAGCCCCCTCTCAGGGCTGACCCAGAGGGACAGGATCACATTTGACACCAAGCATCCTGAAACTTGGAAATATTGGAGTGTAGGTGGCAGGAAAGGTGTCTGTTATCCCCGTGCAGCCATCAAATTTACTGTTGGCTCCAGGCAGGCTGCCATACCCTGGGAATGCAGGCAGGGAGTCTGGTTGGCTTTACCACATAAAACACCATAGAAAACCAGATACTTTACGTCCTTTCTAAAGTAAATCAAAGGATGACTAGATGCATAGATGAATAATAGACAGAGAATACTAGCCAACATTCGTTGAATGCTCAGTGTGCGTCAGGCATTGTTCCAAGCACTCTGCATATATTAACTCATTTCATCCTCATAAGGGTATTTGAGGTTGGTGCTATTATTATTTGCCCCATTTTACAAATGAGGAAACTAAGGCACAAAGTAGTTAAGTAACTATCCCAAGGTCACACAGCATTGAAACCCAGCAGTTGGACTCCATTGCCAATGCTCTTTACCTGGTAGAGAGAGCCTTGATGGAGATCTCAGGTGATCCTCATCCCCACTAATAAGAGTGGTTTGTGTGCTTTCCTTTCCTATAGTCTTCAGATTTAAAACATTGACATAAACGTCTGATATGGTTCCAAGTGGCTCCTAGGATGAAATGCAGAGAAGTGAAGAGTCGGGGGCTGGAGTCAGACAGAAATGAGTCCAAGTCCTGGCTCTGCACTGTCCAGCTGTTTGGCTGTAGGCAAGTCCTTCATCCTCCAAGTCCGAGTTTTCTCATCAAACAAATGGGATGATGACCTGCTTCACCTGCTTCCCAGAGCAGTGGTGAGGGCCAGGAGGCTGAGGGTCTGACAGTGCCTACACTTCTAGCTTAGGTTCCTTGTTGACAGCACTGGAGTTGAGTCAGAAGAAAACCAAGGTGGGCTATGACTGTGAGGTTGGAGAAGCCCACCATGAGGAATTACAACTTCCCTCTCTAGCAGACTTCATGACCATAAACTGGGATCATAGGTCCTCATGCCTGGCACTGAGGAGCCAGAGAGAGGGGGCTTGATTAAATGAGACACCAGACACTGTTGGTTACCTACCAGATGGTCCCTATCCCTTCCTCTCTAGTAGTGGCCTACCTCTCAAAATAGAGGCTAAAAATCCAGTTACATGCTTTACTGGTCTACTTTGCATGAAAGACATATGTAAGTTACCCAATCCTGGTCAAAAGGGATCTGAGAAAAGGTCTTCTGGGGTGGGAAGGATTCTGGAAAAGGTTTTTCTTTCATCCAGACAAGCCTGCTGGATTTTATCGTGTCTGTGTGATGCCTGGAGTTGCCACAGCTAACTTTCAATGGTGAGGGGAGATAAGGCCTCCAAGCTGAACATGGCAGAGTAGAAAGGGACTGGGAACATCCCTGAGCTGCAGAATTAGTCCTGAAACAGGACCTGGGCCACATGCTGTGTGGGATAATTAACCCTTTGTGTCAAGGCCTGTCTTAGTGGGGTCTTATGTTCCTTGCAAGAGAAAGCATCCTACTTAATATGAAGGAGAATGGGGCTGAGCCAGGAGGCCCTGAACTTGGTGAGGACTGTTGCTAGCGAGTTGATCTGGGCCAGTTACAAACCTGTCTGGGTTATAGAGTCTCAATTTATTAAAGAGGGCTAGTAATCCCTGCTCTACCACCTTCAAAGAGTATTTGTGAGGCGAAATGAAACATTTTTTTTGTCTCCACCTCCTACTTTGATCTGGAGATACAAAAATGAATAAAATGTGGTACAAAGGCAGAGATGGGAGTGAACACCCTGTTCAAGGGACAGAATGAAGTTCAATATGAGTGAGAAGAGTGGTCAGTGAGTAGGAGAGGCAGGTGTGACCTCAATGTCTTCCTTTGTAAAGAGAGGGAGTTGAACCATGTCACTTCTTAAGTTCCCTTCCAACAGCAAGATTCTAGAAATCACGTGCAGCTGTCACTCAATCTCTGCTAGGCATGCCTGTCCCTATAGCACAGGTCCCTTGACATTGTGGCTATTTTTTTGTCCAGCTACCCACAAGGTCAGGGACTGTGTCTTAGTCATCTCTGTATCCCCAGCAATCAATAACAAAAATTAGTTGGATGAAATAATAAATTAACAAATGAATAAAGGACTCTGTTTCATAGCTTAACTGAAACTCAGTTGAAAGAATAAGTGAAAGAAATGAAACATTTAAAGAGTGTTATCCAGAATAATGAGCTACAGAGATTCTCAATGAACCTTTTCAATACAGAATGTTTAAATAAGTAATATGCAACATAACATAACAGAATAACATAACATCCCCCATTCTGAGAGTCAAGTAGCTAGCTAATTTTCTTATGACTACGGGAGGTACTTACCAGCAAAAGAGAGTTGTCAATGAACTTCCTTAAATACTATTTTCCCAAAGAGGAAATGAAAAGATAAACTGTAAAACTTGACATGCCCAGTATGAAAAGGCTATCTGATGACTTGAAATTAGGCTGCTTATGTTGGAGTTTGTAACGAGATATTCAGAGAAAAATGTGAACACTGAAATGATTTTCTTTTAGAAGAAATGCAAGGAAGACCATAAAAGACAAAGTTGGTCTCTGAAAATAGATAGCTGTGTCTGCTTTCTAAGTAAATCTCACTGCATAGTCAAGGTAGTACTTATTTTTATCCATGTTCTTTTAAAAAATGTGACATGTCTACCAGGAGCACGATAAATGATGACATCGTGTTAAAGCTAATATGTCGTGGCTTCACAGCTCAGCCCCAGTCAAATCTCTTGCAGACTTCAAAGCTGGTGCCCGGAGACATCTTTCAAGATGACACAGCTGGGTTGCCAGGGTAACCCACTGGATGAAGCTCTAGCTGGCTTTGGGAAAGATTACATAAGACCAGACCAACCAGGAAGAGTCAAGGGGTATCCTGGGGGTGAACAGAGTTGTGGCTGTTGTCTGTTCAGCTTTCAGGATAAGGGAATGGTGGTGACATTTGGAAGTGGGTAGCATTAGACACCTGGAGCACCTATCTCAATACAAAAGTCTTCATGGCGAGACTGATGATGAAAACATTGGGAAAATGGGGATTCTGGTTGACAGAGAATAATAATAATACATATCAGGCAGGAATGACCATTTCCCCAAGAATCAATCTCACCATTTAGTTTTACGATTTCCAAGCTGTCATAGATGTCCCATTATTTTGTGTTAGGGATGTATGTTAATATGTGTTTATCATTTGAAGGGATGAATGACTCCCTTAAAGGACTAAAATTCTATTAAATTCATAACTTGCAATGGAGGAGATATAAAGAACCTGCTGACTGTGTGTGTGTGCGTGTGTGTCTGATTTTCTACATACATACATACACACATGCACATATATATATTCAGTTCATTGATGTGGGTGCCTTAGTTAGGATCTAAGTTTAACTGTGACAGAGACTCACATGGTGTCGACATGACTGAAGATTAATTTTCTCATGGGGAAAGTCCAAGCCGGTTTGGTAGCTGTGCTCTGTGAGTCCTCAAGGCCTCGGTCTCTTTCTCTTTTCGTGCTCCTTCCTAGGGTGTTGCTGTGATTCATGACCTTACCTGGCTCACCACAGTGTCACATAAGCTGGTAGGAAGGAGAAGACAGAGGAGTAGGGGAGCATGTCCTTCCCCTCAGGGTCAAGACCCAGAAAGAGTGTACATCACTTCAGCCTATGTCCAAGACCTAATCTCAGGGCAATAGCTAGCCGCAGAGAACACTGGAAAAGTAGCCTTCATTTTGGTTGGCCACATGTTCAGTTAAAAGTCAGTTACTATGGAAGAAAAGAAGACTAGATAATGGGGATAGCTAGCAGTCTCTGCTCAGTGGGTACATTTTTGGAGGGCTTCTTTCTGTCATCAGCCTCTCTTCTGAAGGTCAAGTGCAAGATGTGCAGCTATGTCAGCTTTCTTCCTTGCAGATGGGATTTGAGGCCCTAACAAGCAGGAATGGACTCACTCTGTATGCTTCTGCATTATCAAGAGTGGTTAGTGCTAAAATACCCTGTTCTGCTGCCTGGGCTGGACCTGACAGCTTCCCCAGGGCTTTGCTCTGTCTGAGGCACTGAGGACTGAGAGAAACTTCATCCAAATAGAGAGAATTATACTGTGACCATAAAGGTCCCACCAATTGATCACTTCATATGCTGTAGGTGATGGGGTTCATTTTGAAAACAAGAGAAACTGTTATCCATAAGTTGATAGCTTACACAACCCCCCACTGCCATCATCTCTACCCTTTTCCTGCACCCACTCCCCAGCCTTTATCCCCACATGGAGCCCGGCAGGCTGTGCCACTGGACTGGTTGACTGTAACTACTACTTTTGTTTCTTGCTGTGTGTCAGTCTGGCAACAGAGGTCTTTATTTAATCGCATTACTTGAATATCACATAATGAGCAGGCCAGCAGGGGCATCAGGCAGTGCCACATAGGGTAAGGGACAAACACCTAGCGTGAGAGATGCTGAAACACAGGGGCTTGGGCCTGCAGTCACACTCATAGTCAGATTTACTGATACAGAATGACTGTTTGATCTTTGTACTTCATCCATCCATGTATTTGTTGAACATTATTGAGCATCTACTCTATAAAAGCCTCAAATTAGGATTCTGGAATGAACCAACAGCCATGACTCCTGCCCTCAAAGAGCTCAATCAATGAGGGAGTCCACCAAGTGGACTGGCAATAATAATACAGTGAGACAAATGTGGCCCAAGAGGCTGTGAAAAATGGGTGGTGCTGGAAGAGGCTCCAGGAAGGCCTCTCAGAAGAAATAACACTCAAGCCATATCTGAATATAGTGAACCAGGTGGTGATGAAAAGAAGGAACTCCCAGCAGCAGGAAGCACTTGCAATCTTTTTTTTTTCTTGCTAAGATTTATTTCTTCCCAGTCCTAGTCCGCAAAATCATCTTGCAAGGCAAGATCCTAGATATTTCTCAGCCACTCTAAAAATACATCCATAATCTAATGGAAACAAGCACACTGGCAAGACATTCCCCTTCCTGCCCATTAGTCAGCCTTTTATCAGAACAGCCCTGTTGAGGACAGAGAACATGATGCGGATTGCGATGTGTCAGTGACATGGGACTGGAAGCATCCAGATGACAGGGGCTTGGCTCTCCATCTCCAGGGAACCTTCCTCTGAACTCTAGCCAGGCAAGGGCCACAGTTCAAGGCCCTGAACTCTGCATGCTTTGATCCAGTAGTGCCAGGGTTGGCTCCTTTTCCCAAGGAAGAAGAAAATCTTTGCTTGATAGATCAAGCAGTTGTGGCATTTTCTGATCCTGCTGGTAGTTTTCAGAAAAATAAAGGAAAGGGAAAAAGAAGGGAGCTAATGTTTATTGAGACCCTACTATGTGTTAAATAGATGCTATGAGAGAAACAGAGAAGGAGATAGGATCCCTTGGAAACAGTATTGAACAAAAACAAGAGCAATAATTACAGCAAATGCTTATGTAGCATTCGCTGTGTACCTGGGTACTATGCTATACATGTTCTCTGTGTTATCTGTTTAATTCATACAACAGCCTTCTGCCCTAGATACCATTATTATCCCCATTTTACAGATGAGGCAATCGAGGCACAAGGAGAGGAAGTAACATGTCTAAGGACACACAACTAGTGAATGACTAAGCTGCGCATAGGTTCTAACTTCACATTTCCCAGCTCTGACTCTTGCTGTGTGACAAATGACATAAACCATTTGAGCCTCAGTTACTTCATCTGAATGATGGAGACAGCAATGCCTTACACCCAGCTCTGTGGTGAGGGTGTCAGTGATTATGCTGAAAGACAAAGCTTGAATAGAGATAAGATGAAGGATGATCATGCCACATCACTAAATGTGGGGTAGTGCACTCACATATGACTGCTGTGGGGATAGGCTCCATCCAGGAAGGGGGCCTTGAACTTGGTCAAAGAGTAGACTAAGAGGAGGTTTGGAGGATTTTCCCAAACTCCCCAGACTGGGCCAACTCCAGAACTCTCTGAAGAGGACAGTGGTGGCTCAAGGTGCGAAAGGAGCCAGCTCCGTCTCCAGCACCCCCACTTCCACTGCTCCATGCCTTGCTCTCTGCTCTGTAATCCCCACCCCATGCCCCACTGCTATACTCTTGTCCTGCCCTCACCCAAACCTGCTCCCCCAAATGTCTCTCATCAATTTATTAATATTAACATGTCAGTGACTGATTATATTTAATGCGTACATCCTGCTAAGGGATTTATAGTTTATCAGGAAAACCAAAGTAATAGTGATGAGGTTTTAGGGCCTGTTCAGGGGACTTTCTTTATGTTCTCAGATTAATATCAGAATATATGATACACACAGAGGTGGGCAATGCAAGGCAAGACTTTGTCATTTGTCAGGGAGAGGACTTTGACAAACCATGTTCTTCATGCACTCTGTGTGTGTGTGCTCTCACTCACACACATGCACGTGCCTATGCATACCGTGAGAATGAGGAGAGGGATAGATGTGTTTTGAAGTTCTGGCTGTCCTTGATTTTGACCCCCTTCAGGAAAATAATCTCTTTGCCGCATGGTCCTTTTTGGAGGCTGAAGCCTCTCAACCCCAAGAAGGGAAGCAGAGGTGGCCCCAGAGGCTGCCTGATAGCCATGTGATTTCTGTGGCTTGTCTCGGGGACTGGCCAGCAAAGCTGCTGAGCAGGGAGCCCCCCTCCCTAAGTGCTCCACAGTGTAAAGGCCCCTTCCGCCTCCATGTACATCCATCAGTTCTCCATCAGAGGCTGAGGTTGGGGCTGACTGTGGGATGCTGGGTAATGGTTCTTATGGTTAGGAAAATACACATAGACATTCAGTTCCATCAAACCTTACTAAATGGATGATCCCAGCTATGACAAAGAGATGAACCTGCAGTCAATGCAAGGTCATCTACAGAAGAGGCCAGGGAAGGAGGAAGACTGTGACAGAATGGTCCCCAACCACAGGAGTATGCATTTTTGATTCACCTGATGGGGCCCATCCCTCCCTCTTCTGATTCAGTGTAAAGGAGGTGAGACCAACATCTATACTTTGAAAAAGCTCCAAGATGACTCTGAAATGCATCCCAGGTTGCCTCTGGGCTTTAACATGTTGCTGGAAGGGGACAGGCAGCTCTGAGTAACAGCAATTCCTTCGTTTCCCAGACGGTGGATGTGCCCATTCTACAGTACATTCACTCCCTCAAGGAAGAGTTTCCAAAGCCCTTGTCTGAGTCAGGCCCAGGGCTCAGTCCCCAGTTCTAGGGATACAGAGATGAATAAGATACCCAACCTTGGGTGAAGGTGCTTCCAGTGCAGTGCAGTGCAGTGCAGTGAGGCAACTTTCCTCTCCTCAGCTCCTCCTCACCCCATCTCCTCTTCATTCCCTTAACTCCCTAGGCCATCCTCATCCTTCTTTGTCCTCACTCCCAAATCCACCCCATCACTGTTCCCATCTTCCCCTCTCTTTTTTTTGGAGCTCAGACTTCATACTGCAGCATCTTGCCCCACAATTCATCACCATCCACCAATAGCCAGGAAGGCCAATTTCAGTGGAACAAGAAGGTCTATGGCTGTGTGAAGGTACCATTGGCAGGAGTGATTTCTCAAATCTTCAGCAAGGGATTATTTAGCAAGTGCATGGAAAATACTAATTGAGATAGGAAACAGGAATTGTTGAAAGCAATTTTTTAAGTTACTTGGAAAAAGTACAGTGAAATTCCTGGAAAAATATTTGATGAATTATACATGTACCTACACCCCTGAGACCGTCATGGCCAAATTCAAATTATGGCCACAGGACAGCAAACAGAAGTTAGCCCTGGGCTGGACCTCAGTTCTAGCCCCACCACTGGCCCCTGTGATGCATCCTCATAACAGATGTTTCCCTTCTCTGGGCCTGTTTCCTCATCACAAAAGATGTAAGAGCTAAATAATCTCTAAGGACTCTTGTTGGGACAGTCAGTCCAGTGTCTTCTTTGTGCTGAGCCCTCTTCACTCATCATTACGCCCAGATTTCTTCCTGGAGTGGGGAGTGGAGCCATACACAGGGGAATGCTCAGCTGTTCCCTGTGCTGCACAGACCCACTGGTCCAGACCTCATTCACCCATCTTTCCACGTTTCATCCTGTTGTCCATAAGCAAATGACACAGTTGTTCATCTATTCATCCCATAGAAATGTAAATAGCTTCTTCCATTTAAATGGTTGCATGTAGGGAGATCAATAATGAGAAAGCAATCAGACAGATCTTGCTCCAGAAGAGCCCCCAAGTCAAGAGGAGAGAGATAGACAGTTCGCTGTATTAGGCAAATTGTGCTCAGCTCCCTTTGAAAGGGAAGTCCAGGAAGGTTGGGGAAATGAGCTGAGGGCTGGAAACACGCATGGGGAGGTGGCTGGTCGGAAAAGGCTTTCTGGAAGAAATCAGATTTGAGTGGGGCTCTGAACTGGGATAGAATTCCAGGAGATGGGCCCTAGTGGGGAGGGCATCACACCAGGAAGTCCTTCAGTGTGGGCAAGGCCCTCTGAGGTATAGCTGAGGGCACTGTAAGACTCGGGGGCCCCTCTTACCACTGTTGCTTGCATGGCAACGTAGACCTGGCAGCTCTTAGGAGGGGGCACTGAAGGCACACTTGCCTGTCATCCCCAGTTGGGGGAAACATTGGCTTAACAATGTTCAGCAAATTACACATTCATAATGAATCCTGTTGGCAGAACTTCCAAGCCCTTAGCACCAGGCAGTGCATCTGACAGCATCATTACCCCTCAGTATGAGTTTTGCCAGTTGTCATTTTCCCAAGCACTTTGGAGCCGACTCCGCCTTTGCTTAGCAGTCACAGGGAAGCCAGCCCATTGGGCTCCACATGGCACTTCCTTTGGTTTTCTTGTCCTGTCCCCATTTTCCTCCAAACCCATTCCAGTTTGTCCCTGCCTCACTCACTCAGCTGTGGCCAACCCCAAGGAGGGCATTTATCCCCTCAGGGTCAGATCCAGGGCATTTTGTCTTCTTAGCAGGGCCCACCAGGAAGAGACTCTCTAAGCAATCACTCTGCATTATGCCTTTCCTAAGGCAATTCAAATATTTGCATTTAGCAGTAGGAAACCATGGGCAGTTATGGTGGCTGCCCTGTGGAAAAATGCAAAACCACTCATGGATGAAATAGAGAGACCAGAAGCTTTGGGTCAGATAGAGCTGGGTTCCAAGTTTCAGTGAGCCTCTGTTTCCTCATTTGTAAGATGAGAATAATCTCACAGAGGAGTCTGAATTAAATTAAAATGCCTAGCATATGCCTGCACTTAGGAAGTTACCAATACTTCTGTTTCCCTCCGCTTCTTTCCAGAGAGAGCGGAAGTTTTATGTAATACAGTTTTGGGCCAGTTTCTAGACTACTGAATAAATATCTTCACCTTTCTTAACTACAGCTCCCATGATATCCTACCTTTCCTCAAAAACCTCCTGTATCCATGACATGTCATTAAATAAGAAAAGCCAATTGCAAAACCCTATATATTAATAGAAAGATGTGCAGAATAATCTGATTTTTGTAAAATATACACACATAGCTCCCTGCCCCCTCTCTCTTCATAGCGTTTACTTCCAGGAAGTGGGATTGGTGAGAGTGAGGGTGCCCCTCATGCCTTATTTTTTTATTTTTTTGTCACTTAAAGTTTTCACAACATGTATGGAGTATCATTTTTTAAAAATATTTTGCTGACACATGGTAATTGTATTCATGAGGTGTAATTTGATGTTTTGAGCTGTATATGCATATGTTGTAGAGTGATCAAATCAGGGCAGCTCCCATCACTATTCATGTAAAACTAAATTCTAAAGAATAACAAAAGAAACCTCCTCTAACTCCCTTTGCCTCTGGAAAAGGTAAAAATTCCATTTCCTTGCACTGGGCCTGTCTCAGATATTTGGCTACAATTAACTGAATCCAGCAAACAGTGGTTTAAATAGACAGGAGTTTATTTTTGTCACATACAAAGAAGTTTGGAGCTGGACATTTGTTTAGCATTGGATCATGACTTCTGAACATCTCTGAGATTCTCTTGGTCTCTCCCTCGTGAATACAAGATGATTGCTGCAGTTCCAGGCTTCACATTACCATTCAAGTCTGCCAGAGATAGGGAAAAGGTTCCAGCTGCATCAGTCCTTTTTAATCAGGAAATCAAAAGATTTCCAAAAAGTGCCTTCTACCCACCCACCTTCAGAAGACTGACTCATCTGTCTCTTTGGCCTAAACTATACCACTTGGACAGGAAATAATAATGAAAAGCAAGAAACAAGATCATCATGATTCATTTTAGTCCAATTATCATCTATTTCCTGGAAAAGGCAAGGGAATGGATCCTCCCCTGCAGGGCTTGGGACTTGAACAAAAGCACAGTTGTTACAGAAAGGAAAAACTGGGAAGGTGGAGTAGAAAGGTGACTAAGACTGTCTGCCAAAGGGCCCACTAACTTTCCTTCCTCACTGCTGTGGTCTGTGCACTAGCTCACATGGGTGGCTCACAGTCCCCAGACATTCTGCAACATTGCACCTCCAGCCTTGTACTCAAGCTGTTCCCTTGGCCTGTGACATTCTCCCTTGGGAGGCTGTGGTGACAGGAACAAGGCACTCACATACTGTGAACATCATCACAAGAGTGAAGCCCAGCAGGTTCCATGTGGCTTCTTGACTCTGCGTGGCCCCACAGCCAGCTCTGTGGCTCCTGTCGGGCTCTCATATCTAATTGATGAGCTCCAATCGGTGACTTTCTTTATCATGAAGGGTTATGAAATGGCATAGTGTAGCCTTGATCCAGTGACACTTCTCTGCAGCACTGTGACGAGTCCTACAAAGAAGAGGTAGAATAGAGTGTACTTCTCCAAACACTGATGGATGGCACAATGGTAGGTGGTGTGAGCTGATGGAGGGAAATGAATTTGCTTCCTAAACAGCCAAGCTTGGCCACCCACAGTGAGCTCAGTGTCACCCTGGATTGCAGTTACTTGTGTGTATGTCTCCACTTCCTGTAGGTCAGGGGCTAGCTGAGTATTCTTGAAAAGTTAACTGGTGAATAAGGTTGGTTTGAGGATTTCCCTTGGCTTTATGCCATCTGGACCCCAGAGTCCCTCCTGCCCAGTGGCAGAATTTCAGAGCTATACAGCCCCAGAAGAATGGTAAAGGAAGAAAGGCCCTCAAAGCTCAACAGCAGTGAGTCCTGATGAACAGGCCTCAGGGGGTGAGCTGGTCATCCATTCTCCCTTTACTCATTTCAGAATGGACACTATTCTGAGAAAGATGGGGAGTGTAACACAGAGAATGGCCTCCTTTGACACCCACTCGTCCCTTGGGGGGTTGGCCGTACAGTGAAAAATCTGGTTGTCACTGAGAAACAGCCATCAACCTGACCATTTTTGAGCTCCCCCCTGTTCCTTAGTCTAAATTTATGATCTCTCCATGAACTTAATCTCATAGCTGTGAGAGAGGCTCTTACAGGTCATTCTGGCCAACTTCCTGTCCATCAGACAGAAGAGGAACCTGGAGCTCAGCGGAGGGAAAGACCTTCAGCAGGAGAGCTTGAGAGGTCCCAGGCGAGGTGGCTCATACCTGTAATTGAGCACTTTGAGAGCCCAAGGTGGGCAGATCCCCTGAGGTCAGGAGTTCAAGATCAGCCTGGCCAACTTGGAAAAACCCTGTCTTTACTAAAAAATACAAAAATTAGCCAGGCATGGTGGCATGTGTCTGTAGTCCCAGCTACTTTGGAGGCTAAGGCAGGAGAATCCCTTGAACCTGGGAAGCAGAGGTTGTAGTGAGCCATGATCATGCCACTGCACTTTAGCCTTGGCAACAGAGCAAGACTCTGTCTTAAAAAAAAAAAAGAGGTCTTGAGACTAGTACTCTGTCCACTGTACCTTAAGCCTCTCATCCTTGTTCCCAAACCTATTTCCTGGCTTGTAGAGTTCATTCAGTTAAGTTAAAAAGAGGTGAAACAGCAGAAGTGCCCCAGCCAGGGTGGGACCCTGCCAGGGTGTGGTGCTGCCGAGAGCTGGGTGGTGACCGCATCACACAGTGAGGAGCAACACTAAGGAGGCAGCAAGTGGAAGTAAGGGATGCTGTCTCCATGGCAACTGCCGTTCATCCTCAGCTTGTCAGGCTGGGCATGCTGGAATTGAACAGGGCTGAATTGTTGCCCCCATCATGTGGCACTTTTCCAATTTTGAGATGCCTTCACCTGCATACATGCACATGCACATGCACGCGCACACACACACACACACACACCCCACCTTACACTTTTTCCTCTACCTTTCTCCAGGGAAGAATAGGTGTGGTTTCCAGTGGCACAGTTCAAGCATGGCAGCACCTTTCTTACCCCAGAAAGCAGCAGTACCCGGGGAAAGAATATGGGGAGGGGGATAAGGGAAGTGTGAGAGGACCAGCTCTTGTCCTGGTACCTGCTAAGCAGAGGAGGAGTTTGGTGGTCAATGTTGCTGTCTGTGCTCAAGGATGTAGTCACCTGGTGTATCAGTTTCCTACTGCTGCTGTAACAAGTTACTACAAACTGATGGCTTAAAACAACACAAATGTATTATCTTACACTTTTGGGGGCCAGAAATCTGAAACAGATTTCATTAGGCTTGGGTTTCTTTTGGAGGTTCTAGGAGAGAATCCATTCCCTTACCTTTCTCACCTCCTCAAGGCTGTTCTCATTTGGAGGCTTGAGACCCCTCCTCCATCTTTAAATTCTGCTGCTTAGCATCTTCAAATCTCTGCCTGCTTTGCTTACACTGTCACGTCCCCTTCTCTGACTCTTGTAAGGACTCTGTGATTACACTGGGTTCATCTGGATAATCCAGAAATAATTTCCACATTTGCAGGTCATTAACTTAATCACATCTGCAAAGTCCCTTTTGCCATGTAAGGTAACATATTCACAGACTTCAGGGGTTCGAATGTAGACATCTCTGAGGGGAGAGCATCATTCTGCCTCCTCTGCCCAGGTTCTGTGAATATGGGCCCTCAATAACCATTATTGTAAGAGTAATAATAATATTTCCGACAGACTGAGCACCTAACATGTGATAAGCACTCTGCTAGATTTTTACACATATTAACTGATTTAATCCTCACTAAAGCTCTACAAGGATGCCTTAATTATCCACATTTACACATGAAGAAATTAGACATGAGGAGTTCAGTGAATTGGGCCAGTGGGCTTAGGTAAGGAAGGCAGAGGAGGGAATGGCTCCAGGCATATGTTTTTTCCATATGTCACCAGAAAATTCCCCCAGCACTTTGGTCCTACTGCTGCTTGTAATCATTCTCTCATGATCCAGTGAATCAGTGGTGGGGTCGGGGTTGGGAAGAGAAGCTTCCAAAGAGAATCTGACAGTCAGGGGCGAAGGAAGAGAGCCAATACTGAATAACCACTGTGTGCCACACGGCAGGGGCTCTCCCAGGATGCTTCACAAGCTCCTCACAAGGTCCAAGAGGCTGCCATCTCCCCAGTTTTACAGAGGATACCACCAGTGCCCAAAGAGGTTATGCAGCTTATTTGAAGTAATACAGCTAATAAGTAACACAACTGAAATTGGATCTGGTCTTCTCTGAATCCAGAATCAGCATTCTTCCTTCTTTTATCTGTCTTTAACCAAGTTACCCACATGGTGGAGGCCTGGGTATAGGTAGAGAGCGGGCAATCTTGGTCCATCTTCTCAGCAGGCTAATTTTTCTTGGAGATTGAGGGGTGGTTTTTTAAGTTAACTAACTGATGGGTTTTGCAAACACATTTCAGTTTTTAAAAGGAGACATTTTAGGGCACATAACACATATTTTACATGAATATTAACTCAAATGCGAAACTTCAGACTCAGCAGCCCCCGAGCCTTCTGAGGTCTCAGGTATTTTCTACTCTTAAGGGTGCTTTGGTGGAAAGTTTGGGCACTGGACCTCAACTTGTTCAATTTTCCCTTATTTGCCTTTTTAGAAAAGGCAGCTTCTAGGCAGGAAAGTAGAGAAACCAGGTCACAAACAGTATTAGAACTCATGGTCCTGACTCCCCATCCAGGGCTCCCTCCTTGTGCTCCATCATTTGCCTCCCTCCTTATGCATTTCCTCACCTGAGGAATGAGGGTAACGTATTCATTCACTGAATAAAGATTTATTGGGCATATACTATGATCAGGAATGGTACTAGACACCGGGGATTCAAATAATTTGTTTGTTACAGTCTTAAAAAAAAAAAAATGCAATCCCCCCCCAAAAGGCCCCCAGCAATGTTACAGGGCCATTCTAAGTGATTACAATAATGTGTGGTGGAGTCATGCCCAGGGTCTTGAGAGGGCATAGGGGAAGGGCACTTGCCCTAGCTTGGAGTTCAATCTTTCTATATGAACTGAGTGCTAGAGCATCTGTAAGAAAATGCCAGGAGATAGAAAGCATTTGAGAGGGAGGCCTTCCTGCAATGGGGAAAGCATGGAGGTAAGAAATTACAGGTCATATCCTGGAAGGCACATTGGGAAACACAGAAGTTCATTTTGCTCATGCCTAATGTGTCCGTCAGGCAGAGAGGGTACCACTGTATGAACGGGCAAAACCCTGGAGACGTGAGCCAGGCCCTTCTCATGGGGATCCAACTCCAGAAAGTGATGAAAAACCAGTGAAGGGTTTTAAGTAGCATGGGTAGGATGGCTTCATGGAATTTTCTAAGTGGTTCATTCTGGAAGCAGTCTGGACAAGGGATTGGCAAAGCGAGAAGGGCAGGCTAGAGGCAGAAATACCAGCAGGAACCTGGAGGGTATCCAGATGGGAGGTGCAGGGGCCCCGCCTCCTCATTCTCAGGGAAGATCTGCTGTGCTTTCAGTGCGCCTCCCACGTGGAAGGCTTCTGGATGGGGGACTCGAGCTGCCTCCAGCCCAGGATTCCTCACCCACAGACGAAGCCTCTAATTAAAACAAAGGGGCCACAGTAGAATGCAGTCATCACTCTTCCCCTGAGAAAGTGGGTGGGAAGGTGAGCATTATGCTATTCATGATATTATCTTTTGAGAAAAAGAATTCCACACCCACTATTGTCTTTTATCGAGTGACGCTACAAATTGATTCTAAGCCTCAGAAATAAAAGAGGGTATAATATAGTACAAAAAAAAATTGCAAAGATCATACAACCTTCATCTGCTAGTGTAAAACAGTACAGACTAACCCCGATAAATTCAGAAAAAAAGTAGAATGAAACCTCTCAATTTAAACTCACTGGGGAGGGCTAATTTGAATTTTACATTGTTTCAAAGGAATGCTACTTCTTCCTCTCACATCCAAGCATAATAAAACCTTAAGAGAATATTTGTGTAATCAAATGCTGATGAGTAGAATAAAGCAAGTTAATAGGAAAACTATAATAGACTTATGGTTACATAATGGTGAGTCATGAGCAGTATGGTCATTTTTATATACAAGAATGAACTTGATGAAGGAAAGCTACTTTAAAAACAATACCTAGCATATCACTTAACAGGGAATCTCACCAGGCAGCCCTATAAAAATCAGCAGTTTCTTTCTCTAAAAATCAACAGTTTCTTCCTTCCTTCCTTTCTCTCTCTCTTTCTTTCTTTCCTTCTTTTTCTTTCTTTCTTTTCTTTCTTTCTTCCTCTTTCTTTTTTTCTCTCTCTCTTTTTCTTTCTTTCTCCTTTTCTTTTCTCTTTTCTTTTCTTTCTGAGACACAGTCTCACTCTGTCACCCAGACTAGAGTGCAATGACACAATCTCATCTCACTGCAACCTCTACCTCCCGGGTTCAAGCAATTCTCCCACCTCAGCCTCCCGAGTAGCTGGGTCTACAGGCGCACAACACCACACCCAGATAATTTTTGTATTTATTGGTATAAACAGTGTTTCACCATGTTGGCCAGGCTGGTCTCGAACTCCTGACCTCAAGTTATCTGCCCGCCTCAGCTTCCTAAAGTGCTGGGATTATAGGCATGAGCCACCGTGCCTCTACTCTTTTGTTTTATTTTTTAATAGAGAGGAGATGTCATTTTGTCACCCAGGCTGGAGTGCAATGGCACAATCATAGCTCAGTACAGCCTCGAACCCCTGGGCTCAAGCAACCCTCTTGTCTCTGCCTTCTGGGTAGCTGGGATTATAGGCACTTGCCACCACACTTGGCTAATTTTTTTGTTGTTGTTTCAAATATTTGTAGAGACAGGGTCTTGCTATGTTGACCAAGCTGGTATGGTACTCTGATCCTCCAGCCTCAGCCTCCCAAAGCAATGAGATTATAGGAATGAGCCACCGCACCCAGCCAAAACTAACAGTTCCAGGGGAGCGTCCTGATTTTTAGACTGGATTCTTCTGGGCTGCTGGGAAGATCCTGGTGAGTCATAATGAGAGAGGCTGGGCTGATAGTGAAGTTTGCCTCATGTCCTCATTCTCCTCAATTTTTCTGAGTCCCTCTCCTTGCCTTCCTTTTCCACTCATCTATCACAGACATCAAATCCAGAGGTATTCCAAAGCAGGCAGCCTTCTACTAGCTCATCCTACAAATTTTACCTCTGAACATGAACATAAAAATCTTCAGACTCTATCTCAAAAAAAAAAAAAAAATCAGGCTGGGCATGGTGCCTCACGCGTGTAATCCCAGCACTTTGGGAGCCCTTGAGGTCAGGAGCTCGAGACCAGCCTGGCCAACATGGTGAAACCCTGTCTGTACTAAAAATACAAAAATTAGCCAGGCATGGTGGCGGGTGCCTGTAATCCCAGCTACTTGGGAGGCTGAGGCAGGAGAATCACTTAAACCCAGGAGGCGGAGGTCGCAGTGAGCCAAGATCGCGCCACTACACTCCAGCCTGGGCAACAGAGCCAGGCTACATCTCAAAAAAAAAAAAGAAAGAAAGAAAAGAAAGAAAGAAAAGAAAGAAAGAAAGAAAGAAAGAAAGAAAGAAAGAAAGAAAGAAAGAAAGAAAGAAAGAAAGAAAGAAAAGAAAGAAAGATCTTCAATGAATCCTAGTAATGTTGCAGCACTTTCTCCTTAGCTCAGCTAAAACCAGGCTCTTGTCATATGACCAGGAAAGATTAGGCTCATGGACACATAGAAGTGTGAGGAAAATGGAATTCACTGGGTGAAAAGGAAAAAGACATAAAAACTCAGCAAAGCAACAGGGGGCCTTGCCAACAACTTCCTGCCTCACAGATCAAATCCCAGGTCCCCACACAGGAACAGGAGAGGCCAGGCTCCTCCCTGCTGCAAACGGCGTGAACTTCCAGCTGGTCCTCCCAGTGCACAGGAGGGCTCCAATCCACTGTGGCCATGTCCAAACCACCCTGGGCAGGTTCCCTCATCTACACAAAAGCATCTGGTATAAACACTTGTGGGGTGGGTTAGAGATTCTCCAGGGATCCTTTTTTATCTGTCTCAGTAATCCATAGCTAGTGCATATTAAAGCAATCATCCACCACAATGAGATAAGCTTGTTAGTTGGCCAGGAGTTTAAGGACAGTTTAACATTACAAATGCTATAAATACTTCATAATTATATCAATATCTTAAAAAAAATTGAATAGATGTAATTAAATATGAATTTAAAATCATTCTAAAGTCCACTTCGAAGAGTAAAGAGCTGAGAGAGACCAGCTGACTTGTAAGTAAGTAGGATACTTGTTCTGTCATAAATGAAAACATGCTTTACAACTTCAGTAATTAAAACAGTACGGTATTGATGCCACAACAGAAAAATGGCAAGAACAGTTAAATCAGAGCAACCCCGGCTGGGCACGGTGGCTCACGTCTGTAATCCCAGCACTTTGGGAGACCAATGTGGGCAGATCACAAGGTCAGGAGATCGAGACCATCCTGGCTAACACGGCGAAACCCCGTCTCTACTAAAAATACAAAAAAATTAGCAGGGAGTGGTGGCAGGTGCCTGTAGTCCCAGCTACTCGGGAGGCTGAGGCAGGAGAATGGCGTGAACCTGGGAGGCGGAGCTTGCAGTGAGCCAAGATCATGCCACTGCACTGCAGCCTGGGCGACAGAGTGAGACTCCATCTCAAAAAAAAAAAAAAAAAAAAAAATCAGAGCAACCCCTAGCATATATAAGAATGGAAAATATGCTCAAATGCTATCATAGACTAAAGGCTGCTGGGATATCCAGTTGAATTTTTGTGGAGAGTGGAACATAAATTCAGATCCTCTCCTTCCACCAGACACCAAATAAATTCCAGATAAATTAAAGAATTAATAGCTTACATTAAATAATAAGGAAACAGAAGTGACTGTTAATTGATTCCCTGGTGAGGATGGCTTCTAAGAGTAAACGTGATGGGAAATATCTGTTAGATTCATAGTGTCGCTAGCTACAACTTAAGGTAGTGTAGGTCCAAACGTGCCACAGGCCAAATTCAAGTCCAAGAACCAACTGGAATTCTGTGATAGAAACACATTATGGTGAATTATCATGAGGACTAAAGGAGCAGATCAGGAACTCTAATTTCTGCAAGGAAACTTCAAGGAAGACACAGAGCACAGTCTCCTACACTTGTTTCTGTGTTAAAAGCCAGGGTTGATTTTGGCTGATCAATTTCAGCAGTGCTTTTAGGGAACAATGCCTGTGTGGACAGCTGGGGCCAGTGTGTGATTATCTCCAGGTCTGAGGCTCACTCGCTGGGAAACCATGGATTCGTCACCTCATCTCTCTGTGCCTTTTGTCTCATGCATAAAATGTGAAAAGGAACAAATGTAATAGGCAGAAAAATGTGTCCCCCCTTCACCCCAAGGTATACATGTCCTAACCCCTAGAATTTGTGAAAATATTATGTTACATGGCAAAGGTCATTTATGGTAGTAGATAGAACTAAGGTTACTAATCAGCTAACCTGAATATAGGGAGAGCATTCTGTATTATCCAGGTGGGCTCAATGTAATCACAAGCGTCCTTAAAGTGAAAGAGGGAGGCAGAAGGGAAGGTTGGAGTGACTCAATGTGAGGATTCCGTCTGCCACCACTGCTTTTGAAGAAGGAGGAAGGGGCCACAAGTGAAGGAATGCAGGCAGCCTCTTAGAGCCAGAGAAGGAGAGGGGGTGGAATCCACTCCCCTGAAGCCTCCAGAAGGGAATGTAGCTCTGCCAACACTTTGATGGTAACCCAGAGAAGACCCATGTCAGACTTCCAACTCCCAGAACTATAAGATAATGAATGTATTGCTTTAAACCAAAATGGTCGAGGTAATGTGTTACAGCAGCAACAGGTAATATTCAAATAATTAAGATAATTAAATGAGAAAACGCCTGTGTGAAATGTCTACTATGGGGCTCGATATGGTTTGGCTCTGTGTCCCCACCCAAATCACATCTTGAATTATACTCCCATAATTCCCACGTGTTTTGGGGGACCTGGTGGGAGATAACTGAATCATGGGGGCAGTCTCCCCCATACTGTTCTTGTGGTGGTGAATAAGTCTCACGAGCTCTGATGGTTTTATCAGGGGTTTCCGCTTTTGCATCTTCCTCATTCTCTCTTTGCCTGCTGCCATCCATGTAAGACAGGACTTGTTCCTCCTTGCCTTCCACCATAATTGTGAGGCTTCCCCAGCCACGTGGAACTCTAACTCCAATTAAACCTCTTTTGTAAATTGCCCAGTCTCGAGTATGTCTTTATCAGCAGTGTGAAAACAGACTAATACAGGGCTCAGTTCAAAGTACCCTGGTTACCATGCCAGTAGCAGCTGGCGTGGGCTTGATATTGGAAACCAGGTTTCCTGAAATCTCTACTCCTGAACATACAAATGTGAAATTATTTTTTCCTTATAATTCCATATAGCAATTGTGCTATGATGAACTATTATCTCCTTTGTAATAGTTGCTTTGACAGCATCTTGGCAAGATTCCCTAAATTAGCGACACTCTCTGTTATTGGTTATCAGAACAGACTCATTTCAGGTATTTAAGACAGTCTTACTCATTTTAAAAAATTCCACCTCCAGCTCAGTTCAGTGCTCTCCTTCCCTCCCCAGCACAGGCTGCCTTGTCTGTGGCTGCAGTTAGGAGGCAGGGGCTGGGGGCGGGACAATGTGTCAAGGATCAGCACTTGGCACCCACCCCTTCCTCTACTACTAAGCAGCTCCTCCACTCCTTCATGTATTGAGGCAGGGAAGATATAGAGAAAAGGGAATTTCAGTAAGTTCCTTACGGAACTAGGCCAGGTTACAGCATCTCCTTAGCTGATTTTTTTTTTTTTTTTTTTTTTTGAGATCTCAGCGCACTACAACCTCCGCCTTCCCGGTTCAAGTGATTCTCCTGCCTCAGCCTCCTAAGCAAGTCGTTGGGATTAGGATTACAGGCAGGCATGCACCACCATGCCTGGCTAATTTTTTTGTATTTTTAGTAGAGATGGGGTTTCGCCTTGTTGGCCAGGCTGGTCTCGAACTCCTGATCTCAAGTGATCCGCCCGCCTCAGCTTCGCAAAAGACTGGGATTACAGGCATGAGCCACCAGGCCCAGCCCCTTGGCTGATCTTCTAATCTCCTCACTATCTCTGGGCTCCTTGAGGGCTAGCCATGACCCCAATATGCCCCACCTGCAAAAACTGGTGCCCTTGCAGCACTATCATGTCTCTGCAGCACCCCTAAGTATTGGCAGACTGTTGGGAGTTCTGGCCGTAGCTAGCGAATCACAGGCCACGTTCCCCTGAGGACTTGTGTAGTACCCCTTGGGGCCTGAGCCAACTACAGGCCAGTGAGCACATGTGGAAGTCTTAGGAACTGGGAACTGGAAAAGGTGACAGGAGTAGGGAGCATCTGGCCTCAGTGCCCAGAGCCTCGGTGCACAGGGGCCACTAAGCGAAGTCCTAAGCGACAGCCAGTCAGGGAGCAAAATGCCCATTTCCTGCCATTCTCATAGATGAACTCTTTTGGAACCACCAGGGGAAGCACTCCCCAACCCTTCCCACCCACCCTGCCCCTGTGTCTGCAGAGGAGCAAAGAGAACATTGTCTCTAAGCTGGCCTGGGAGATGATGGTTGGATGCAAGAGTGATTCTTAAAGGTACACCTTTATTAGACCCTATCAACTTATGGCTGACCCCAACTGCCAGCAGCTCTCTGAAGTTAGAATGAAGTGCTTACTACCTTTTATTTTCAGTTTGGAGCATTGTCCACAATTCTAGGACAAAGGAAAAATCTGTCACTGGGTAGAAGCCTCACTAAGATACTCAGAAGAGGCTCTGGGAATATTCAATGATGAAGAACTGCGGCTCTCAGATGCCAGCCCCACTCCAGCCTGGCCTGACCATGGCCATAGCCTGCTGGGTGCAGCTTGTCTGCTGCACAGACTCTGGGTGGGGTTGCCCCAAGAAGGCTTTTTAACAGCAATCAAAGCAATAAAGGACTATTTTGTCTAAAATCTGTTCCTGGACTATCCCAGCAGTTTCACCCTCATTTCAACACCACATCCAAACAGCTTCAGGACCTAAATGCAAATCCACGCCAAGGAGACACCACATACCCCCATCTCACCACATCACAGCCCGTGGCTGCCTCAGGGCCCTGGAGGAGGTAAGATAAGCAACCCTCAAACAATCCTAGTTCATTTGCATGCATAGCAATCTGTCATTGCTTCTAGGGCTTACTCATTTATTCATCCTTTCAATGAAGCACCTATCTTGTGCCCCCTCTGTGTTTTCAGGTACACAAAGATAGATAAAAGATGACCTTTTCACCTTGGTAGTTTGCCCAATCTGTAACCGCCCAAGGGGTTCACCTTGCCCACTGCCTAGACAGAGGCGATTTATCAAGACACGGGAATTGCAATAGCAAAAGTGTAATACACACAGAGGTGTCTATGCAGGAGATGAGTTTTATTATTACTCAAATCAGTCTCTCTGAAAACCTGGGGATCAGAGTTTTTAAGGATAATTTGGTGGGTAGGGGTCCAGTGAATCGGGAATGTTGATTGGTTAGCTCAGGGATGAAGTCACAGGGAGTTGAAGCCGTTGTCTTGTGCTGAGTCAGTTCCTGTGTTGGGGCCACAGAACTGGTTGGCAGGTCCAGGTGGGGCCATCTGTTGTTAGAAATGCAAAAATCTGAAAAGACATCTCAAAAAGCAGATCTTAGGTTCACAATAGTGATGTTACCTTCAAGAGTGATTGAGGAAGTTGCAAATTTTATGACCTCCAAAATAATGATTGGTAATATTTCAAATTCCAGCCCCTCTCATCTTGATTTGGTGGCTGGTGACCTTTCATTTGCTTTACAAGAATAGCTTTTTGGGAAGGGCTATTATATAACTATACACTAAATTCCTTTCCAAAGCTAGTTCGGCCTATGCCCAGGAATGAACAAGGACAGTATAGAGGTTAGAAGCAAGATGGGGTCAGTTAGGTCTGATATCTTTCACTGTTATAATTTTCTCAGTTACGATTTTTGCAAAGGCAGCTTCACATCTAGCAAGGTAGACACAGACACATGGCCAGAAAAAATAACACAATAGTGTAAGTATCTTAATAGAAGTACAAATAAAAGGTTAAGAAGCTCAAATCCAGGCTGGAGATTGTAGCCAGCAGGAGCAAAGGCATAATAGAGTGTGAGTTATTGAGGACAGCAGTCCATCTTGGCTCTTTCTGGATTCACCTGGGTCTGGCACATATTGGATATCTAACAGTTGTTAAATTGACCTAGCATTGGAGGCAGAGGAGTGTGAAGAATTTGAATAAAAACAAATAATTTTTTCTGTCTGATATATAGTGTAGGGAGGAGGGAGTGCATGATAAAAGCTCAGGACCTAATTTTGAAGGTCCTTGAATGCCCAGCTGAGGAGTCTACACTGTTTCCACTAGGTACCGAGGGGCAGGAAACAGAGAAGAGTGACATTGTGGTTTTTTTAAGGCCTTATTAGGCCACTGGATTGTGGTTTAAGTCCAGAGTTGTGGGTGAGTTATTTTGTACCAGGGAGAAAGATTTGTGAGGACTGCAGTAATCTGAGCATTCAGATGTGGTTTCCAAGTTGTTAGAATACCTCCCTCTAAATGGTGTTAGAGAAATTCAAAGTCCCACAGCACCTTAGGCAGGCTGCCCACATCTGAGATATAAGGGAGGTCTTACTCTGTACATGTAAGTCCTTGAGTTTAAAAGGGCCACAGGGAGGCTGGGTCCTGGCCTGAGCTCAGCCACCTGCCTGTTCTGTAGCCCCTGCTGGGATCTTCAGGGAGGCAGGGCTCCAAGGAGGCTCTGCTCTCTGCATTTAGTTGCTGAAGAGCACAGCTCTTCTCTGAGGTGATCTCATTCTCTCCTCTGCCCCACCTGCTTTGATTCCTGCCTCCCACATAGTTACCAAGCCTTAGGTCTCTCTGTGCTTCAAAACTCCTCACTCTAGTGGCACAAAGAGAATGCCTGCCTTCAACACAGGGCTCAGAGCCAAGGCAAAGCTTCAGAAGCCCAGCCACAGCTAAATCGCCTGTCTCTGCATCTTCCTTGGGTGTCTGTCCCACCTGGCCCTTCTGGGCACCCAGCCTGGGGCTCTGGAGCTGTCTCCACCCACACCCAGACTGAGTTTTCAGGGCTGTTATAAGGTCCCTTAAGGCTCAGGGTTGTTTAGTTGAAGGGCTCAAAGGCAGACACATCTGAGATCCAATCCCAGAGCATTAGCTCCAAGACCTTGAGGCAGGTGACCAAACCATATGCCCCTTCCGTGTTACGTAGGGCAACACTAGCCACTTCACAGGGTTGGTGAGAAAATGCAATGAGAAGCTTCTATGAAGCAACTATCCTAGGAGGTGCCCCCATATCAGCAGTCCTTCACTTAACTCATGAAAGGTCTTTCCTGCCACCCCTACTGAGATCTAAGCTATAGCAATTTCTCCAGAGAAAGACAGTTTTGTTCCTGGGGCAGGATTGTTCTAAATCCCCTCTCTGTGTAAGCCCTTCTGAGTTCAGTGGACTTGACTTACTTGGCAATGGTTTCCAACTGCCACTGGTGATGCAGAATTTTTCTCAGCCACTTTGCCAACCAGGGAACTCCATGGCCAGCAATACCCCCTGCCATGCCTGGGCCTTGCTTGGCCCCAGGCCTGCTGGAGGCACCTCGTCCACTCGGCCTGCTGTGTTATAGATTGTACCCGCATTCAACAATTCCTGAGCTCTTGTCCCTCATCCAAGAAGAATAAGGTTACACTGACAATTAGAAGGGTAAGGATGGGCAGAGAAGAATTTTATTGAGCAATGAAACAGCTCTCAGCTGAGAGGGGACACGGTGGGGTGGTCCCCCACCCCCACAGTCAGGTGATTTCTCTCTCAGTGTGGCTGGGTCCCAGGCTTTTTATGGACTCGGAATGGCGAGTGCATGCAGATTGGTTTGTGAGTATGCAAAAACAGGTTAAAGTGAAGACAACACCCAAAGGTGGGCACGATAGTGTAGAAAAACAATTAGGAAAGGATAGGTAAATGTAAAATAGGTGAAGGGTGGGGCTTAATCACAAGCAAGCAAGCCAAACGAGAAAATAGATTCTCAATCTCGTCCGTGTATTTTACTTGTAGCTTGGATTTCGGGCTTTCAACTGTCTTTGCCTTGTCTTCTAGTAATTAAGTATGTACCTTGGAGGTAGGGTTTCACCATGGACCCACCTCATCTGCCTAGGCATTTGGCTGCCTCCTGCCACTGTCACTGGAATTTTAGCCCAGAGTGCCCTCTTGAGTCATTCCCTCAGGCTCAATGCCCTTACTCCAAAGCTGCAGGGCTTGCAGCTCTGTGAGAAAGGGAGGTGGCAGTTCACACTGCAGAAGCCTCATCAGTTGAGAGACATAAATAAGCAAGTGGATGTTCCTTGTTCTTGAATAGGAAGACTCAGTGCTGCAAAGATGCCAGCTCTCCCTAATGAATGTAGCAGCTCAAAGCTATCTCAATCAAAATCTCATCACAGTTTGCTTTGTTTCATTGTTTTGCCACTTGATCTAATTATTTTAAAGTTCCTCTGGAAGAGTATATTTTCAATAATAAAAGAAGAAGAGAGAAGATGATAACTTCCACATATTAAAATATTTTATAAGCTTGCAATAATTAAGATACTATGCCGTTAACAGAGGAATAAATTGACAACCAAATAAAGAAATAATAACTAGTTCAAACATATCAAACATACACCCGCATATATGGGGCAAAACGGCATTTTATTTTTTTTTAATTTATTTTTTTCAAGACAGAGCCTTGCTCTGTTGCCCAGGCTGGAGTGCAGTGGCACGATCTTGGCTCACTGCAACCTCCGCCTCCTGGGTTCAAGCAATTCTCCTGCCTCAGCCTCCTGAGTAGCTGGGATTATAGGCACACAACACCACGCCTGGCTAATTTTTGTATTCTTAGTAGAAACGGAGTTTCACCATGTTGGCCAGGCTGATCTCGAACTCTTGACCTCGTGATCTGCCCGACTTGGCCTCCCAAAGTGCTGGGATTACAGGCGTGAGCCACTGTGCGCAGCCCAAAATGGCATTTTAAATCAGAAAGGAAAAAATGGACTTTTCATTAAATCTTATAACAATTGTCTAGCCATTATATTCACAAATTAAATGTGAATATTCAAAGGTAAATGAGAGAGAGAGGAAAGTATTAGAAGAAAACATAGGGAAATATTCTGAATCTCGGTGTGGGGATGGACTTTCAAAATGACACCAAAACCAAACACCATTTAGGAAAATTCTGATGCCTTGATCATATAAAAATCTAAACTTTTGCACAGGAAAAAAAAAGCAACTTGTATATGATTTTTCCAAAGGATATAAAAAAGATAGTGAACCTCACTAGAAATCAGAGAAATGCAAAAATGGTTGGATAATATTGTATCATTGTTCTGGTATCAGAGGCAATGTAAAGGGTGCATCACACATTAGCACTCTGGTTAACTATTGGATGGTGGTTTGACAATATGGGTCACAAGTAAGATTTGTGTATTCCTTCACCCATAGTCCATGTTTAGGAGATAACCAGATCAATTTTATAAATAAAACACTTTAAGGTATTAATAACAGTGAAGACGTTTTAAACCATTGTCAGAGTCTCTAGATTTGATTAAATAAATTATAGAACATTCATATAATGGAATATTAATCAGCCACTAAAAAGGGGGTCATATATTTAAAGCCAGTGACCTAAAAGGTTTTCATGACGTAGCACCAAATGAATAAATCTAGAGTTATAAATATACATGCGTGTATGTGTAAACATGAAGAATGCAGAACCATACACAGGTACATACTTAATGACTAGAATGAAGGTAAGGTTTGTTGTTGTTGTTGTTGTTGTTTTCCGAGATGTAGTCTCGCTCTGTCACTGAGGCTGGAGTGCAGTGGCATGATCTCAGCTCTCTACAGCCTCCGCCTCCCGGGTTCAAGTAATTCTCCTTCCTCAGCCTCCCACGTAGCTGGGACTACAGGCCCATGCCACCATGCCTGGCTAATTTTTGTATTTTTAGTAGAGACGGTTTTTCACCATGTTGGCCAGGCTGGTCTCGAACTCCTCACCTTAACTGTTCCACCCACAGGGATTACAGGCGTGAGCCACCACACCTGGCCAGGTAAGGTTTTTTGTATGATTCACTGCTGTATCCCCAGTGTGAGAAACTTTGTCAGTGTTCAATAAATACACATTGAATCAATGAACTCCTAGAACAATGGTCATTGTTTTTTTTTGTTTTTGTTTTTGATTTTGTTTGTTTGTTTGCTTTGAGATGGAGTCTTGCTGTCGCCCAGGCTGGAGTGCAGTGGCGCAATCTCAGCTCAGTGCAACCTCTGCCTCCCGGGTTCAAGTGATTCTCCTGACTCAGCCTCCCAAGTAGCTGGGATTACAGGCATGCATCACCACACCCAGCTAATTTTTGTATTTTTAGTAGAGATGGAGTTTCACCATGTTGGTTAGGCTGGTTTCGAACTTCTGACCTCGTGATCTGCCCACCTTGGCCTCCAAAAGTGCTGGGATTACAGGCATGAGCCACTGTGCCTGGCCAAACAATGATCACTCTTAATAATAACTCTGAGTGGTAGGTTTTCGGCTAATTATTCCTTTATTTGTGTTTTAAATTTTTTCTTCGTAAATGTGTACTATCTATAGAGTAAGAAAAAAGCATTGCTATTTTCATTAAAGTGCCTTAAAAAATAGACACAGCATATTTCCTTCAGTTATACATTGAATAAATCACCCTTTGGAGAAGAACTATGAAATGCAGAAATAAGCATTAAAAATACTTCTTGGATGATTTGGTATTAAAAGTAAGAAAAGCACCGGGTGCAGTGACTCATGCCTATAATTCTAGCCCTTTGGGAAGCCAAGGCAGGCAGATCACTTGAAGCTGGGAGTTCAAGACCACTCTGACCAATATGGTGAAACCCTGTTTCTTAGTCTGTTCTCATGATGTTAATAAAGACATACCTGAGGCTGGGTAATTTACAAATGAAAGAGGTTTAATTGACTCACAGTGCCACATGGCTAAGGAGGTCTCACAATCGTGGCTGAAGGCGAATGAGGAGCAAAGTCATGTCTTACATGGCATCAGGTGAGAGAGCTTGTACAGGGGAACTCCCCTTTATAAAACCATCAGATCTCGTGAGGCTTATTCACTATCATGAGAACAGTGTGGGAATGACCCTCCCACTGGGTCCCTCCCAGGACACATAGGAATTATGGGAGCTACAATTCAAGATGAGATCTGGGTGGAGACACAGCCAAACCATATCACCCCATCTTTACTAAAAATACAAAAAAAAAAAAAAAAAAAAAAAAGCTGGGCATGGTGGTGAGTGCCTGTAATCCTAGCTACTCTGGAGGCTGAGGCACAAGAATTGCTTGAACCTGAGAGGCAGAGGTTGCAGGGAGCCGAGATTACACCACTGCACTCCAGCCTGGGTGACAGAGTGAGACTCTGTCTCAGAAAGAAAAAAAAAAAATTAAAAGTAAGAGCCGAATGTGATGGATCTAGCAGAGGCCACCTTCACCTATCGAGTTAGTCAGGAAATACTTATTGAATATCCATTGTGTTCCAGGCACTAAGAATACAGACATGAGTCAGGAGTGACCCTTCCCTGGAGGATGTCAGAGCAGAGTTGGGGGCAGGCATAAAACAGCTCGTGACAAGACAAGGCCCAAGTGACCCTGTGCATCGATACAGGGTATTGTCATTGCTCAGAGGGGAAGCCCTTAACTCAGCTTAGGCAGGGGAGAGAGTTGGAATATGGGGTGGAAAGGAAAGAGCAGGCTGAGAAGACAAGGGGCTCAGAGAAGTGCCCCTTGAGCTGAGTGATAAAGGACTAACAGGAGCTAGCAAGAAGTGAAGGGGCAAGAGAAAAGCATGGGCAAAGCATGCAAAAGCACTCTGGAAAGATTTCCCATGGATCGGCACCAGCTTGGAGTGTCTGAGGAGGTGAGGGTGGTGGAGAAATGAAGCTGGAGAGGTTTGCAGGACCCAAGTCGAAAAGGGCCTTGTGGGACTGGACTAAGCAGAGTGGCTTTCATCCTGGAGTGTGGGGGAGAAGGTGGAGGAGGGCATCAAAGAGCGTGCAGTAGAGAGGTTAAGGCCTAGACTTGCAGATGCGCTCACTCATTGTAACAGCAGTGTGCAGGCGAGAATCAGGGCTGGCAGGTGCCCAGGGCCCTGTGCTCAGAAGGACCCCACACTTGGCTTACTGCTCTGCTGCTGCCATCTTGATTCTTAATAATTTTTAAAGAGGAAGCCCTACATTTTCCTTTTGCACTGAGCCCTGCAAATTATGTAAGAGGTCCTGGCAAGACTTGAGGCAAAGTTTGTTATGCAGTTGACCAGGAGAGAAGGCAATAGGAACTTCTGTCCCTTTCCATCTCAGCCTTTGCATTTAGCGGTCTTCTCAACACGTGTCCAGGGAAGAAGCAAGAAATAAAAAGGCAATGTGTGACATTTCCCAAGGTGCAGACAATGCCCTGCGATGTGTTTGTTGTACAAATGAGGCTGAGGCAAAGCTTAGCTGTGCCCCTTCCCGTCCCCTGACACCCTCATCTCTCCTCTGAGATCAGCAAAGTAAGAATGAGCCTCTCAGGTCGTAGTAGGGTGAGGAGGAAAACAGGTATTTTTGTATGTTCGTTTTTTGTTTTGCTGAGATCACAACTGCCAAAGAAGAGAAAATGGTTAGCTCATTCCCATAGTCACACAGTTCCATCCCACCCACTTCGTGCTCTGGTGCTGCTTCCACTTTCTCCTGGAACCCCTCAAACCCCAGCCAGAGCCTCCTTGTCCCATGGGTCCCGCTGCAGGGAGTTACTGCTCCTGCTTGGTTCTGACTCACGGTCAGGCTCTAACTGGCAGCTCGACCCCTAGCTCGTTTGAACACACATACACACGTACACACACATACATGTGCACATACATACATACACACTTGGCTCAGGGCACATGAGGGTTTGTTTTTGTCACCATGAGGTTTTCCTTCCACACATCTCAGGGTGCACCAGCTGCTTAGCAACAAGCTGTTGGGCAGAAGTGGGAATTAAATATCTCCCTGGTTGCTGCAAACACAGGTGCCAAAAAGGAGGAGGAGAAGGGTCCGCCAGAGGGACTGGGCTGAAGGACAGGGGTGTGTGTCTCCTAGACGAATGCTCGGAGATGGAACACTCAGGGCTCTGGTCCTGTGCCAGGAATCTCAGAGGCCTGCTGGGAATGGTGCTCCAGAAAATAGAATCCTGACAGCAAGCTGTGGGCGGTGGGGAATCTGCAGGGATGGCTGATGACAGGTGGAAGGCAAAATGTAAGAATTCCTAAATCTCTGCTGAGGGGACTTGCCTTAGCAAGATCTGGGTTCAGGTCATCATCGTGGCCACCCTAAAATCTTCCATCCTGGCTTGTGGTTCTTGCTTTTGGAGTTTAAGCTCAAAAGCTCCTTCTCCTAGGAGTTCTACCTCTCATGTAGCGTCGAGGCAAAGAATATTAGCACCAGGATTCTGCAGTTGGATTTTCTAGGTTCACAATTTAGCTCCTGCCGTTGACTTTGTGATCTTGAGAAAGTTATTTTGAAGGTCTGTGCCACAGTTTTCTCATCTATGAGCCCCACCTCAGAGGACTGTTGTGAGAATTACATTAAAACAGGTAAAAGGACTTTTTGTAATGTCATCTCCAAAACAGACATCCACAATGCTGAGGACAGAAGGAAGCAAAGTAAGCTACCTTTTTAAAAGTGTCTCCCATGTGCCTGACACTGTACAAAATGCCATTTACTCATGGGATTTATCTTTTCACACCCATGGAAACTGAGGCTTACAAGCAAAGTGCCCTACTCAAGGCCATGCTTCAGCAATGGGCCAGAGTTTGACATGGTCACTGTGGCTCTGTAGCCCTCACTCATTCCTCAAGCCAAACTGCCTCCACTATTGCTTTTCAGAGAAAGGGGAAAAATTACTAATTTATCTGGCATGGGGTGGGGGCGGGTGTCAGGATTTGGTGGAAAGAGCTCTTCCCCAGAGTAACATTTTAGAATTATGATATGAAGCCAGTATAATTACCATAGCACTCCCTGGCATATGGTACCTGAGATGGGGAAATAGTAAGCCAGGGTCTTGGGAAAATGAAAGATGTCATCAAGGTACAAAGGCAATAGACACCTAGATTTGGAGTGAAAACATGGATTCCACCAAGCTCCAAGCAAGCAGAAGGCCTCATCTCTCTGGCCACACTCACTGGCCTAGAAGACTGGGGAGTCCAAGGGCAGGAAAAGGCTGCAGCCTGTGCTCAGAGGCTTATGGTTTTCCAGGATAACACACAAACCCCTGCTTCCTTGACCAGTGGATGCTCACACCATGACATGCACATATTCCCGAAGATCTTTTATGGCAACAGCTCATACACGCCCTTTCACACTGTCTGCACTGCTGAGAGCTGCAGGGTTCAGTATGGTAGCCACGGGCTGCATGTGGTTTTGAGCACTTAGAATATGGCTAGCAGGAATTGAGATGTGCTGTGAGTAATGACACATGTACCTGCTTCAAAGACTTAGTCCAAAAAGTCAAATATCTCACTGATAACTTTAATAGTGATTACATGTTGAATGAATGATGTAATTTCGATGTGTTTTGAATATAATGGGTTCAATGGAATCTATTATTAAAAACTATTTTTTTTTTTTACCTTTGTAATATGGCTATTAGAAAAATTCCAATTCCTTATGTGATTGGCATTTGTGGCTCATGATATCTTTTTATTGGACAGGGCTGCTCTCAAAGGTACTCACAGTAGGCTTTGTGTTTGGAGAGTGCTTTAGCAGTCACAAAACATTGGCCTCTCTTTATGACAGAATCACAGAAAGCCAGACCTGGAACAAGTACCCTTAAGCTGTTTTGTTCAATCTCCTGATTTACAGGCAGAGAAACTGAGGCATTGAGAGGAGAAATGATTCCAGTGTTCCAGGTGCCATCCATAGGCTGTCGCCCACCCGGATCTAGTCCTTGCTGCCTCCACCCTCTAGAGCTGGCTGTCCGGTTCCTTCCGGCCCCTCTTGCCCAGCTCTTCCCCTCCCTTCCCCTTCCCACAGGGAAGGCTGGGAGAACTCTCCCAGTGGAGGCATCTTTATTCATGAACCTGGCCCAGGGGAGCCCGGAGAGCCTGTCTGAAGGCTGCTCTGTGCTTTCCCTGCAGACTCAGAGAGATAAATATGGAAATGTGCGAGAAGAGCTTCCCCATCAAGACTAAGGGCTGCTATGACATCTAATACATACACCAGGAGGGGTGGAGGAGGCAGCTCCAGGGCTGCAGCCGGCAGAGTCTCCTCAGCCCCAGCTGGGCCCTTGCTCCCCCTTAGGCAGGCTTGGCTGACCCCTGGACATCTGCCCAGGCTGGGCTTTGTTTCTGTTTCCCACAGCACCTCCTGTACGCTGCCCCCACAACACCACAAAACTGCACAGGTGCTGGCCCATCTCCAGCTACCATCCAGCCCCCAACCCCACCCCAGGATGCCTCCCCTGACTTCTCCAACCTGCCTGGGCTTCCTCCTTCAAATCCCAAGTGCCTGGAGGCTACACTCTTGCTTTCTGAGGACCCATTAGCAGCTTCTGCATCAGAGAGTGTGCGCTATGCAAACCCCAGCCTCAACCCAAACCTGCTGAAGCAGAATTTGCATTTTCATGAGATCCCCAGGAGATCTGCTCTGGCCCACACCAGTGAGAGCAGGGCACTGTGTCTGGTTTATACTGTGCCCACTGCAGTGCCTTGCACAGCACTGGGCTCCTGGTAAATATTCCAACCACAGACAGAATGACCTTTGCTGAGTCCTTGAGGTTGACGCAGCACTTTCCCGGACGTGGTCTCACATAACTCCCCCACGGCCCTGGATAATGCTGAGCGGTCAAGTCAAGACTCTCTAAGCAACTTGGACTATGGGGGTTTTGGAAGAGGTGCTGGCCCCACGTGCTCAGTTTCTTTGCTGCCTCTGTCTCACTAGAATGCATGCAGATGTGATACTAGTAGTAGAATTGAGATGTTGCCCTCTTGGGGGTCTGTGTTCCTGTATTAGGTAGATGAGAGGTATGTAGAGTCTATACAGCCCCAAGGCCAAATTGCCTGAGTTCAAATTCTGCCACTAACTAAGTATGTGACCCTGGGCAGGTTACATAATATCCATATGCCTCTGTGTACTCATCCATGTAATAGGGACAGCAGTGGAACCTACTTCATAGGATTGTTGGCGGATTACACAATTCAATATGGGTAATGTGCTTACATAGTGCCTGACACATAGTAAGTGTTACAAAGTTTAATTAAACCAGTGTCTTTTTTCAAGTGTAATGTTGAAGACTTTGCAGATTTAGAACCACAGGAGTTGGTAGAACTCCTAGGGCTCAGAGGGAGCCAACTCCCTCGTTGCACACAAGAGGAAACAGGCCCAGATGGTTGAATCCCTCTCCCAGCATCTCACAGCCAGTAAGTGGCATGATTGGAACCTGGACTCATGCACACTGAGCCTGCTCCTCCTTCCCACGCCCTACAGGACACGATTAGAAAGTAGAGCGAGTTCCAGACCTGGCGCTGGAGTCCAAGCTGCCCACACAGGTGTGAGCGCCTGCTCTTCATTCTCAGTAGGATGGGAGGAACCTACTAGCAAACTCTCCAGAGATTTCCCCTCTGCCCTGAGATCTAGTCTCTAAGTTGGTCCTTCTTGACCGCTGAGGCAAGAATCAGGTCACATTAGCTGCAGTTACTCCTTAGGGAAAGGAATAATCAAGGAGTTGGGGTTTGGGAGGAGAGAGCAGCATAGGAGGGCCCCTTCCCAGGGGAGTATTTTGCCAGCTCCCCGTTATCCCTCAAATGCTCTGCAGTGAGGATAAGGAAGTGAGAGGTCTCTGATGCCCTGGTGTGGCCATCCTTTTGTGTGGGTTTTATGTTCTTGCTCTTTGTGCCCATGAGTTCTGACTCTTGTTGCATCTTGTGGCAATTCCAAATAAGCCCTCCCAGATTCCCGCAGGGATCTAGTCTTTCTATTCTTTTGCTAAGGGGCTGGTGGGGTGAAGGGATCTATTGCCCCAGTTGCCCTTCAGGGGAGAGGGAGGCCTTTAACTCCTCATAACATCTCATGTTGCAAAATGCATTGCTTCGATGGAAATATTGGTTTTGAGCAAATTTGGACTCCAGATGACCAAGGTTCTGTTTGGGTTTGACGGTAATAAAAGGAAGATACAGGTATACCAGGATGCATCCTACACATCCTGCAAGGTGAAATCCACCTTCCTCTCACTGGTTGTCTCAGCCGCCTTGGCTGGGTTTGCACTGCTCATTAACATTGGGTGTGCCTCTCTCTGCCTCCCTAACCACATGCAGATCCTGGCCTCAGTGTCTGCCTTTCTGCATCTCTCTGAGCACCTTGCCTAGTATCTGCCACATATGGTGCACATAGTGGATGATGATTGACTGATCACTCAATATATTGTTTTCTATAAAAGAATGAAAGAAGATCATTTCCTCTTCTGGTCATTTCCTTTAAAGAATATATGTACTCTTTAAATGTTCCTTAGTTTTCGTATTATTGGCTCATACACAGAACACAGCCTTGCTGAAACTAAAATAATAACAACAATAATAATAGCATCTTTCATCGGCTGAATACCTATTATGAGCCCAACACTGTGTGCACATCATGTGTGTGCTTTACACACATCATCCTAATCCTCACAGCTTTGCTACCAGGGTCATCCAAAGAAGGGAAGCCCAATGCCCCTAGGCACACTACTGTTCAATAGTGGAAGAACTGGAACCCAATACCGGGCATTCTGACTCTGTTCCAATGTCCTCCCCATTAAATCCCAAAGGTCCCAGCCCAGCAGCCAATTCTCCTCTATCCTGTCCCATTTTTTGTATGAAGAAACTAAGGCTGGGTGTGTTGGCTTGCACCTGTAATCCCAGCACTTTTGGGAGGCCAAGGCGGGAAGATCACTTGAGGTCAGGAGTTTGAGACCAGCCTGGTAAACACGGTGAAACCCGGTCTCTACTAAAAATACAAAAATTAGCTGGGCGCAGTGGCACATGCCTGTAATCCCAGCTACTCAGGAGGCTGAGGGAGGAGAATCGCTTGAACCTGGGAGGCAGAGGAAGTTACAGTGAGCCAAGATCGTGCCATTGCACTCTGGCCTGGGCAACAGAGCGAGACTCTGTTTCAAAAAAAAAAAAAAAAAGAAAGAAAAGAAAAGAAACTAAAGCTTTGAAAAGATTAAAAATCCTTTGCCCGAGACCAGGTCCCACATGTAGTGAACTGCAGAACTGATATTCAATCCCAGACCCATCCAACCCCAAAGCTCACACTCTCCACCACAGCATAGCATCCTTACTTCTCTACATGATGCATTTCCTTTGTTTGTTTCTTAGTCTGCAACCAGATCTTATCCTATAACTGTGGTGGCAGAGATGGGATCATGTGGGGCTCATATAATTTGGGGAGAAGTTAAAGATATTGCAGTAACGCAGGACAGGAATACATTTAGGAGAACATGTTAGAGTTGGTAGGAAGCTTCCTCTCCTCCAGAAAACAGAAGCCCCACCTTCTTAGGCAATGATCCTGAACTTGTTCATTTCTGACAAATGTGTTCCACTTCTTTTTTTTTCTTTTATTTTTATTGACACATAACAATTGTACGTATTTGTGGGATACAGATGATATTTTGATACCTGTAAATAATGTGTAATGATCAAATCAGGGTAATTAGCATATTCATTTCCTCATTTATCCCTGTGTTGGGAACATTCAAAATCCTCTCTTTTAGCTATTTGAAATATACAATAAATTATGGTTAACAATACTCACCCTCCAGTGCCATAGAACACTAGAACTTATTCCTCCTATCTAGCTGTAATTTTGTATCAAATGTGTTCAACTTCTGCAGATAGAACATGCCTGGCTCTGGCTGCCATTGCTGTCACCAGCTGTGCTATAATAGCTCTCTCCCCACGATTCCAGACCTGGTGGCCAATGGCATTCCAGTAGGGTTCTAATTGAGATGCAGCCAGGCTCAGTGTTCTCATCATTGTCACCATGACGCTGTGAAATGAGTTGGGTGCAGGGTGAAATGAGAATCGATCTTGGATAGACCACTTTATTCTGGAGGAGGTAGGGAGATCAAATAAGTTTTAGAACCAGTTGTGAAATCTGCTGTTCTACCCACTTCAGTTGGAGCGAGTGAAGACAGTACGAAGGGAGTGGTCTCATTCTAGCTTTCCCCACAGCAACCAAGCTACTACCAAGCACCTTCAAAGATCCTCACCACTTGCCTAGTTTCAAATTCAGTGCCATTTAAAATTAATAAAAACAATCTTTCCAGTCTAGCAGACTGGCTCTAAATGGAAACTCACCACAATTTCCAAAGTGTAATTTGTTATTGACATCCTAGTTTCATAACAAAGAGTAATAGGTTGGTGGTTCAATATTTACCAGGAAGAGAAGTACTAGAATAATCCCCTACCCAAAATCAAAATGCCATTGACCCGATTTATAGTGCAAATGGTGTATTAGACAGAAATAAAAAGAGACTTCATTTGATTTTAAAGTCTGAGTAATCAGTAAGTACCCTTCAGGGTCTGTGACATTTCCAATGGAGATAGAAATAGGGATAGAGAGACCAGAGATAGATACTTAAACTTACTTATAGGTACAGAGATGGAAATAGAGAAACAGATATGATCTAGATGTAGTTGTATAGACATAGACTTATGCATAGACATAGGGATAGAGATAGAAATATGAGAAAGGGAGAAAGAGAAGAGAGAGATTCACCCTTCGAAGTTTGATCCTGTAATTAGGACATTAGATACAAAGGGAATGGTAGGTGCTTTGGTCAATGACAAATCCAAAGTCATGAAAGTAACATCCCTTCTTTTTTAAAAATTTTACTTCCAGAATCAGAAAAACTAAATAAAATATTATAGCTAAATGAAATGTTGAAGCTTATCTGATTTATCCGTCATTTTATATCCAGGGAAACGAAAGTCCCAAGAGACAAGATGACGTGACCTTAGTCACACCCAGATACTCTGTCACTCAACCAGCATCTTTTCCTCTGCAGTAAATTGCTTCCTTTACCCATCCGAATATAGTAGCACTTATAAAGCACCTACAGCATACCAGAGCCTTATTCGAGAGCAGTAAGGATACAATGAAGAACAAAATATAATTTCATCCTTAACATAGAGATGATTCTGGCTTTTCCCATGGTGAGCATTCCTTTTTTTTTTTTTTTTTGAGACAGAGTCTAGCTCTGTTGCCCAGGCTGGAGTGCAGTGGCGCTATCTTGGCTCACTGCAAGCTCCGCCTCCCAGCTTCACACCATCCTCCTGCCTCAGCCTCCAGAGTAGCTGGGACTACAGGTACCCGCCACCATGCCCAGCTAATTTTTTGTATATTTAGTAGAGACAGGGTTTCACCGTGTTAGCCAGGATGGTCTCGATCTCTTGACCTTGTGATCTGCCCGCCTCAGCCTCCCAAAGTGCTGGGATTACAGGCATGAGCCACTGCGCCCAGCCGGTGAGCATTCTAATGTGAAGGAGATCTGGAAGGTAAGGAGGTTGGATTTCTACTGCCTCATTCTCATTTTTTATAAAAAAGCAGAACTTCTCTGGGAGTTCATGACCTTTCTGGGGCAGTCTGTGTAAACAGAGAGATCTGGCCTAAGACATAAGTGAAAATTGCTTATCTTGTCCCGGGAGGCGAAAGCCCCTTCTCTAGAAATTTAGTTCAAGAGTAATTTTATTCTCAAATAGATGTAATTATACGAGAATCACAGGCTAATAATGGCTACCTTTTGTAATAAAGACTGTAATGTTGAAGAAGCAGTGATGATAGAAAATGGAAGTTGTCACCCAGAGGACAAGGGATGGGGCAGCTCTGAGAAGCAACCTTAGGATCTGTGAGAACCCTTTGAGGGTGGGGGTGGGCGAGGGTGTCCTTAACCTCCTTCTGGAGAGCCTACATGTGGAAGGAGCTCATGTGTCAGGCTGCACCTACCTTTGGCTTATCACATCTGCTTGAGGGCAGAGACCAGACCTTCTATCTTCTTATGCGTGGTTGCCTCTCCTCACTCTCCCTCCTGCCCTCACAAAGCTCAGCATGGAGCCCAGCACCAGTTGGGCTTCTGTGAGTATCTGTTGAATGAAAACTTTGGCAGAAAACAGTTTTTGGACTCACCATTTCTAATTAAGGGAAAATGTCTCTCGTCTTCCCATCCATGTGACTAAAGTGCAAGTGCTGCTCTGGGCTGATTCATCTCCTCATGAGTCATCTGCTTAAGTAGTAATGCGAATGGGCTTGCAGGCCAAGTGGTGAGCCTTCTGCAGCACAGCCGGCTTCAGGCAGCTTCCAGAGCACATTTCAACCCTTCTACTGGTCAGTGGGTAGATTTGCCCTGTCTCTCAAGGCCTCGAAACGATCTGTTTGCTGAGTCACTTGTTCATTTAGCAGACATTTACTGAGCACCTACTGTGTGCCTGGCCCTGTACCAGGCACCAGAGATTACAGCAATGGCAAAACCAGGTCATTCTCGGCCCCGTTTAGCTTACAGTCTACTAGGGAAAAAGGGCACGAATCCACAATCCTGTGAACATTTCTTCACAATTGTAACAAATGTTCCCTACAGTGACATGCATGTGTGTAACAGGGGTCTGACCCAGACCAAATCAAGGTTTAAAGAAGGAACAGGGGTTCACTGGGCCAAGGTCAGCAAAGGAACTTTCAGACCACAGCAGCAGCACGGCAATGGTCCCATGACTGTGGCAGGGGAGGGAGAGCCAGCAAGGCCCCAGGGAGTGAAAGCGGCCCCGGGACAAGGGAGCCGGGGGACCAGAAGCTGGACACAGAGGTGGGGACCAGACACAGAAAGGTCTCTGAGGCCTGGAAACAGTCTCGTTCCTTCTTCTGAGAACAATTAGATGCTATTGTCGGGTGTGGGAAGGAAACTTGACCAAACATGGGTGTGCAAATTTCCCCTGGAGCTGTGGTGACGATGGATGGAAGGGCCTCAGTGTAGGGAAAGTTAGGAAGCAATGAATGTACCACTACAATGGGGTCCTATTCCTGGGGGAGGCCTCATGGATGTGAAGAGCTGAAAGCCAAAACCAAATATCAAATGACCTCTCAAAGGCATATGGTCAGCATCTAAGGGCACATGAGACCCCAACACTAACCTTCTGCCCATCGGCAGGAGGTCTGCTGGAAAGGCCCGACCACCCCACGTGAAGGCCTCAGCCCCCAGGACAAGGAGTTAGAGGTGAGCTCATCTGAACAGCTCCTGTCCTTGGTGGTTCCCACAGAAGGTAGACAAGCCCAGTAGGCCTAAAGCAAAGAGCAGCCTGACAGTGCACGAGGGGCCCCTTAGGGAGCCTCTGAGATACAGTGTAGCCAAGGAAGGTCAAGACCCCGGAAGAGACAGGCCGAGGGTCTGTCTGCAGGGCTGGTGTGGGAGGAGAAGGAGACTGCAGTTGGTGCTGGGAAGAGCCAAGGCTTTGACTCAGATGGCACTGAGTTTGATCCTCCTGCACCCCTTAGTGATGTGACCTCATGCCAGTTACTTACCCCAGAAAAATGACCCTCCTGCAAGTCCTACCCTTGCTGAAAGAATCAGCTGGGGTGGCCTGTGAGAAGGACCTGCTTAGAGCCTTGTTCCACGAGACACACTCATGAAACAATAACTACTGTCTCAGTAGCAGGGCCTGAAGAGGTAGGTACAAGACCAGGTCATCCAGAACAGGCTAGAAGCCACTAGCTAATTCCAGCAGGGTAAGGGGAGATAACCTTGGAGGTTGAGCAACTGTATTTCAGGGTGATTGTATTTGTATATTCATAGGCCAGGCAAAATAGGCCTTTGAAATTTGAGAACAAAAGAAACAAAACTGACCCAAGTGAGGGTGTTTTAAAAGCAACTATGTCTTCTGCGGGATTGGATGGCAGACCTCTCCAAGACTGTGAGCAGCGGAGCAGTCCAAGAATACTCTTCTGGTTTTTTGAAGCCCTATTTCCTATCAAGAGCTCTATTTCCAGCAGACTAATGGGCAGAAATCTATTCTGAGGTCTGAGGGCTGCCCAGTGTTAGCCAGGAGCTGGGCCTTGGGCAGAGCCCTGGAGAGAGGCATCCTCCGAAGTAGCCTTGCTGCCACCCCTCCTGACACAGCACATCAGCTGTTGCATGGGCAGGGGTGAGTCCTGGCCAAGGCCTTGCTTGTGCCCACCCCACCCCCACCCAAAGGTTGGGCTGGAGAACTTCTTGGGGAGCTGCCTCCTCCATCACATTGAGGCAGTGAACCAGGGATCTTTGGAGGGGAGAGATTCATGTGGGAAATGCTGCAATATTTTCTCTGGAAGGATAAGCTATCCAGGCAGCAATGGTGCTGGGGAGGGCTGGGATAGGGGTGCAGAGGAAATGTGTCACTGGAGAGAGGCACAGTGTTTGTAGATCATCACTCAGCCTTTCTGTGCCCACGCTGGGTGGGGCCCTGGAGGCCCAGAGGCTAATGTGTCTGGTTCTCATGCACCACCTCTTAGAGGAAACAAACATTTTGATATTCACAACTAGATAGATTACTGAAAAGAAAGAAATGCAGAGTGGGGCCCACTGTCTGTAGAAAAAGCTCCTGCCCTGGCCAGGAGGAAGCTGGTTAAACCATGCAAAGACTCCTGTTGTCTGCCTGGGGAAAGAAAAGACCTCAAGTGTTTCCTGGGGTTTTCTTCTGCAGGTTGTTCGGTTCAGGGACAGGGTATGGAGTACAACCGGGAGCAGTCAAGGTCTGTGTAATCCCAAGAAGTCTCAGACTCTGAAACTCTAGGCTATGATGAAGAACAATGAATTGTCAGCAGCCTGTATATTAGGATGGGGGGAAAGGACCACATGCGAATATTTTAAAGCTTCAAACTGACAATATCATGTCCATTACTTTTGTTTGCAGCTCCATACACTTGTAATTTATCACAGTAAAATTTTATACTTCTTTATATGGTGGTTTGATTAATGCCTATTTTCCCCCACTCCTTAATGCTCTATGTCTTTCTTCTATTTTATTGCCAGCACCTAACACTGTCCTTGACACATAGCAGCTGCTCTCAATGTTGAGTTAAAGAATGAGTCAGAAAATAACTCAGTTAGAATCTCAGTAATTTCCTTGCAGTACATATGTGCTGCCAGAAGGTGGCGAAAATACTCAGAGCAGAGAATTTCAAGCTTCAGAGGCAATGGATGCTAAGAATTACATAATGCAACACATTTGGTTGCTTCATCAAATGTGGAGTTAAGTTTATTTCCTCGGCTAACACTTGATTAAGATAAATCTCAAGGTGTGGCAGAAACGGTCAGACAGATTTGCATTCAAATCCAGCCTCTGCTGCAGACAGCCAGGAATCTTAGGCAAATGCCTTTGACCTTTCTAGGCTTCCACTTCCTCATCCACAAAATGGAAAGTACAATGTCAGATTTTGTTATGAAAATTAAGTGAGAGAACACTAATACACATACACACACACATATACATATACATATGAGTGTGTATATACATTTTTAATTTTTCAACCTCAAAGTTCTTTGTATCTGTCATATTATTTATAGATTATTACTGCCATCGAATATTACTTCCATGTCAAAATTTAATACAAGAATTGAAACAAAATACATTGAGTTAAAAAGAAATTGAACAAGAGTACGCAAAAAAAGAAAAATACTGTGCTTTTCAGGCCCTGTTGTCCTCCAGGAGAAGTAAATCTGAGTTCAAGACCCTGAATTCTTCCTAAGAAATTGAAGGGAATGCAGCTTCATTTCTCTGTGATGATCCATCTAGAGTTGAATTATTTTGTCAAAATAAGGAGCATGTCCCTAGTTAGAAAAACTCAAAGCACTCAGAACATGATAGGATAAATTTCCTAAAGGAAACAACCCCTCCAGAAATTTGAAGGCTCTTGAGCACACACTCAGTTCTAAAGTAAACATGTTGGTTGTAAAAGTCAGTATATAGACCTTCTGCAAGACACATGTAACTTTTATAGCTCAAAATTTACAATTGATTTTTCTCTCAAGGTTTTTTAGACCTAAATTAATTTTTAATATACTGACCCAAGGTGCCCAGTTATTTTTAGATAAAACTGTCAACTATCCCTTAACCTAAAAGTAGGCTGTGAGACATAAGATAGTTAAAGCATTACAGTGCCAGAAACCTACACGAATGGAGGTTTCGTGCCCACTGGTCTCATGCCAACTGCACATAGAAATGCTGGCGGGTAAACAGCACTAAGGGGACTTGGGAACCTGTCCAGGGGCTCGCTCTGCTCCACTCCAAGTCAGTTCACAGGTGCCAGCCCCACCCAGGCCCCTAATCACAAGGCAGATGAACACATCAGCCAAAGTACCCTCTAGAAAGGGACCAGGACCACTCATGCATAAGGCACAGGAGGAGCAAACTTGCCTATTTAGAAGTTTTCAGATTCAACATTGTTTAGTTCAAAACTCAGCGCCTGGCAGCCTGTCCTCAGGTACCAAGCACCTAAGTAGCATTGGGGGGTGAGGGGCTGGGGTCATGCTGAGCTGTTCAAAGAAGAAGGAAAGTCCTTCCCTCTACAACTCCCTCCTTGAAACTAACAGCTCATTTACTGAGCTTTAGTAATACTTTGCCCTCTCCTCTGTTCTAGTTCTTATCAAGTAACATGACCAAGTCAATTTTGAGTAAAGTCCCCCCATTAACTGTGCAGTCTCGGAACACAGAGACCTCGAGGTATTGCTCTCTGAGTCCATAGCACCCAAGACGAGGCCCGACATGAATAAGAACGCAGTGAATTCTGACGAATAATGAAAAATGAAGGATAAGAGAAGTGAAAGATATGTTTAGGGAATGAGGGAACATAAGAGAACATTGTCCTTTGTAACCAGGAAAAGATATGTTTGATGAAAAAAAGAAATGGGTCTCAAATGTTTATTTCGTGAGATAATAAAATGATTGTTGTCATTTTAAGCCACTAGCTTTTGGGGTGATTTGTTATATAGGAATAGTCTCTGGAACAGATCATTGTGCCTAGCAATGGGTACTACCAAAATATAAGTAATGGGTACTTTCCTTCTCCTGGAATGCTTGGCTGTTCCCTGGGCCCCATGTATAGAATCCTTCTGTGTTAAAGCATATCTTATGTCTGGAGGGAAATTTTCTACCTTCCAATGTGCTTCTAGGTGCAGGAGGAGTGGGCAGCAGAGCTCTGCAGGACCCAGGTCAGGATGCACAGTGAGAAAGACGGACCGAGGGCTCCTCGAGGTAGATAGCCCAGAGTGGGCAAAGAGGCCATCTGTATGAAGGCTGCTCACCTGGTCCACTTAGCAGGTGCAAAACTTACGAAGGAAAAGGGATATCAATGAGCAACCTCAGTAATCTTCTATAGACCTTGTAGTGCTTGCCTATAGAGCCCAGAACCCAGATTTATTCATCCAGAAATACATACGTAACTTCTCTGCTTTAAAATAGCACATGGTTTGTTTTTGGTTGTATTTGGGGCTTTGCAGTTCTTCCTTGTTAATTATCAGAACTACCTGCTGTTTGTGACTGGCCTAGGCTTATGTCCAAGGGGACTGAGGCCACCACCTACTGATTCCCCATGGCCTTCCCTCCTTGTGGTCTATGCTTCCCTTTCCTCCTTGTGTCCATTCTCTGCCTCCCACACACCCCTGGTGACAGTTGGCTCTGTGAAGAAACCTCTTTATGTCTCTCAAAAATAAGCCCAGTCATGTTCTATTTTTAATGAGTTTTAAATGTCTGTTCTGCAAAAGAAAAGTCCCTGCAAAAAGAAGTTAGAAACTGGAACCTCACCCAGGGAGGGGATAAGTGTGGGCCCAGGACGAGGGCTGGTGGCAGGAGAAACCAGGTCTGGGCACCCTCCCTCTGGCCCTACTGGGCAGCGATGAAGCCAGATTCTCATATCTAGAGGAACATTGAAGTTCGTGTAGCACCACCTGTGTGGGGAGAGAAACTGCTGTCTGCCTCAGTCCTGTTCCTGGGGGGAGTGAGCTGAGATGCTGCAACACTAGCATCAGGTGGTGCTTGTTGACCGATTCCAAGCCCCATCAACTGAAAGCCACATGTCACCAGCCTCACCCACAGGAAACAATGAGATGCCTGTACCTGAGCACCTGCTGTGAGAAAGCCTCCCCTAATGCCTGCCCTTGCCCTTGACAGTCAGGCCAAACTGCTCTCCAATGGGTGAGGCTCCGACAACGCCCAGGAGCACCTGTGATGCCGTCATTAGGAACCTACCTCGTCGCCCCGATTCCATCCCCTCCCGACACCTGACTGCGCGTGTTCTCCTTTGCAGTTCTTTCCTTATGGAGACGCCTCCAAGTTTGCCCAGCATGCCTTCCGAACCTTCGACAAGAATGGGGACGGCACCATTGACTTCCGAGAGTTCATCTGCGCTCTGTCCATCACCTCCAGGGGCAGCTTTGAGCAGAAGCTGAACTGGGCCTTCAATATGTATGACCTGGATGGTGATGGCAAGATCACCCGAGTGGAGATGCTGGAGATCATCGAGGTGAGGCCCGGGGTGTGGTTGGCGGGTGGTGGGCACAGAAGGAGACCCCACGGCAGCCTCCTAGGTGCAGGCCTTAGTGGCTTCTTCTCTCTCTGCTCGAGCCCTGCCAGCTGCACACCACGCCTGGACTTCTCCTGCTTCTGTCCCCGCTGCAGCACAGTGCTGGGGAGGTCCCAGAACCAAGCCATGGGGCCCGTACTGTCGTGACGGTGGCATTGTCATCTGCCATTCACTCACTACTGGATCTCCCACGAACCTGTCTTACTGTGCACACAGGATGTCATGGGCTGTTTCTCTGGCACTTGGTGTATCTCTGCTCTGCCTCACTCCAGCTGCGCCTAGTGGGGACCCGAGGCTGTCAGGGGCTCCCGGGACATCCTTCCAGGTTCTGGTCATTCCACAGCAAGCAGGCTTTGCCCATTGTGTTTGTGAGTAACCCAGGATTCCTCTGCCACGCCACCCACTGCGTACTGCATTCCCAATGTGAAGGTCTTCTTGGTTTTCTTCTAATGCCCGGTTCCACTTCAGGGCCTTCCACTTCCTCTCTCTCTGCCCAGCATGCCCTCCCCTGGCCTCTGGGGGCTCCTCCCTCACTTTGCTCCCATCTCTGGTCTTATCCCATCTCCCAGAGAGGTCTTCCTTCCTGCATACCTTCCCAAATATGCCCACTCCACCCTCACACCAAAGCAATCTAACCCTTACCAAGAGGGGTTTTGTCCCAACATCTGTCCCTGCCCCAGATTAACTTGTTGAGTGGAATATATGGCAGAATGCAAGCTCTCTGAGGAGGCTCTGCCCTCACGGCTGCATGCCCAGAACCCAGACCCAGCCTGGAGCCTGGCAGGCATGCAATAGCAGATGCATGGTTCGGTAGCTTTCCTTTGATTGACTGTCTTAGCATGGGTTCCCACCCCTGCACCAGCCACTCTGACCAAGGAGAGAAAGGTATCACTTGCTGAAGGTAGAGCCAGGTGCTCCATCCTGGAGCTGGGGGGATGCCCCATCCAGACACCAAGAGCTGAGATCAGGCAGGGTGGATCCCCACAAGAAAATGGGATGATTGCAAGAAACAGAAGCCAAAGCCCCAAGTTCCCCTCAGGACTCTCACTCTCCTCCCAGCCTCAGAGAGAAGTCACCCATCAACTCCCTGCCTGGGAAGCTGGCCTCGTTCACTTGCACACCCTCTCATTCCACATCTTCAGTCTCTTCTTCTCCGTTGGCTTCTCCCCTTCTATCTTCAATGCCCACTCCCTTTCAAATATACCCAGCAAACTAACATCTTAGTTCTTTACTTGTGTTCCCTTCATTCAATTGAATATATATTTTTTCCAGCAGGTTATCAGAAAAGATACAGCACAATAATTCTGAACATGTGGCTTGATTTTCTCATCTTTCTCACTCTTTAATCTTTTGTCCATCTTCCACACTTAACTTGGCTCCCTCCAAGGTCTCTCTATAAGCTCCCTACAGAGTAGGTTTTTCCAAGTTTTTTCTCCTCTTTGACTTCTTGTCATTTCCCCTCATTGGCCACCAAAACCCTTCCTCTCCAAAACTTTTCTCTCTAATCCTTGTCAATGCCCTTCAGCCAAAGTCCCCAAGGACATACCCACACTTACACAAGTTGACTTTATTACTGCTTGCAGTGAGGGAATCTTGGGGCAATTCAGCAGGAGGGTGTTAGAAAGGACTTCTAGGATCTGGACTTTGGGAGGGTGATTTGGGGAGGGTTCGGAGAAGCAGAGGTTTACTGTGGATTGGTTACTGTCAGGGAGTGGGGACACTTCTATGATTAGATACCTAGGAGGAGGGCACACAGACCAATGCAATGCTCTTAACGGGTGAAGAAGCAGTGGTCACTCACCATAGCAGGAAGCAGGGATGCTTGGTGTTTTGTGTCTGTGTTCAGACTTAATGACAGAGTGGTCTTGTTTTTGCCTTGCTCCATCATGGTCACTGGCATTTTGTGACATTGGTTATGTTTGGTGTGAGACCTGACTGTGAGGGCTGGGCCAGCTCCCGGCAGCACCAAGGCCCGGTGGGCAGTCCGGGCCATTTCCTGGCTGTCAGCGGCTGCTTTTCTTTCTCTTAGTTCTTCCACGTTTCTCCCCATCACTTCTAGCTCTTCCTTTCTTCTATTCAGAGCTTTTATGGATTGATTTCTCACCTGATTATGGGTCACATTTTCCTGCTTCGTGACACGTGTAATAATTTTTATTGGTTCCTGGACATTATGAATGTTGCATTAGAGTGTCTGTATTTTGTTGTCTTCATTTATAGAGTGCTGAGATTAGTTTTGACAGGCAGGTAAGTTATATGTAAATTAGCGTGATCTTTTCGAGGCAGTTTTATAATTTTAAGCTTTTAGAGCAGATGGAGAGTAGGTTTTCTGTAGTAAGTTAGCCCAGTGCCCAATTTGTGACCATTTTGGGGTTCTTACTGATTTTCTCATACATTTAGTGAGGTTTCTCTACTCTGGCTGGTGGGAACCAGCCCCATGTGTTGTGATACTTATTCAGGTATTTAAGTGAAAGAGGACATATCAGAGTATAACTAGACAGAGAATATAAATAGAAAAGAGGTTTCCAGAGGACTGAGGTCCTGGGGCAACCTGATGTTTAGAGGTGAGGAACATGAGGCACAATCAGTAAAGGAGATGGAGAAAGAATTGCCAGAAAGGTCAAAGTAAAAAAGGAAAAGTGAGAAGTCCTGGAAGGGAAACACACTGTTTTGTGGGGAAGGAATGGAATGTGCAATCATGTCAAATGCTATTGATAAAAGAAGTAAAAGGAGAAAAGTAATCACTGACAATTGGAATTGGAAACCTGGAGGCCATAGGTGAACCAGCTGAGAATAGTTTCAGAGGAGTTGGTGGCAAAATCCTAAATAGAGCAGCCCAGGAGAATGGGAGAGGAAGAAGTAAAGACAGTGACTGCAGAAAACTCTTGCCAGAAGCTTTGCTTTAAAAAGAAGAAGAATGGACAACAGGCTTCCTGAATGCCAAGGTATTTAGCAAGCTCTTTGCATTAAGAACTAGAATGCTCTGCAAGCCTGTGTGAGCACCAAGAGTTGTTCAGCTTATTGTTCAGAAACTTCTTTGTGAACTTTTATCCTCTGTGTGCAGCCTAGTTTCCAGATAAACATTGAGGAGTCCTCCTAGGCAGATTTCTGAGGCTTTCTTTCTGCCTGGCTCCCTCTCTGGTCCTCTGCCCCGAAATTTCTGGCTATCTTCACCTTCCTCCTCCAATTGTTGTCTCCTCCAGTTGGTGAGTCAGCCCTGCTTGGGACCCTTCTCCTTGTGCTGCGGTCCAGGAAGGACTCTGGGCTGAGATCATAGGGTTCATCTACTTTGTTTCCCACCTCTTAGGAATTACAGTCTTGCACTGTCAGTTGTAAAGTCTGAAAACAGCTATTTCTTTTATTTTTATCCAGTTTTCTAGTTTACAGTGAAAGGCAAGTCAGTACAGGTCCATCAGGGCTGGGGACCACAGGGGCAGTTTCACACGGAGTTCCGAGTCTGGCATGCCCGGCCTTTGTGATATGTAAAAGTCTGCATCTGAAACGGCCCTTCTTGGTTGTCGTGTTCACAGTCCCAATTGTAGGGCTGTGTCATGGATACGATTAATGAGATCCTGCCATTTTCAGAGTTGCTTCCTGAGGTCCAGGAGGGACTTCTTGTGTTTACATTTCTTATTACCCTGACTTTATTAATAGTGCACTTGTTTTGCTGCCTTCATACCCACTGCCTCATGTAAGGGCTTTTGATTTCGCCTTTTAAAGGCCAGGGTGAGAGTGGCAGCTTACATGTGTACGGGCCATTTGTCTCTTTTTAAATTCCAGACAGTACACATTCCGTGCTTTTCCTTTGTGCACCACTCTGGCTACTAGACTAATCAGGACCTTGTCTACCAATTATCCACAAAATGAAATTTCGGAAAGTCTGCCTCTTTTAGAGACAACTTTCTTAAAGTGTTCCATGATACATCAATACCATCTAGCTACAAAAGTAAATACGCACAAAATATTTTATCTCAGTGGACATTTTAACTTGTTAAATAAAGCACTTTCTAGTTAGTGGTTTGCTCTGATTGGCATTTCTAAAAACAACTTTATGAGTTATAACTTACAGACCATAAATTCACCCATGTTAAGTGTACAAATTAAATGATTTTTACTAAGTGTACAGAGATATGCAACCATCACCATAATGTAAATTTAAAACATTTTTATTCCCCCAGTTAGATCCCTCATGCCCAAAGGCCCGCTCCCACCCCAGGCTCAGGCAACCAACACATCACTGTGTCTCCATGGATTTGGCTCCCTTTCTGGGCATTTGACACAAATGGAATCACATAACATGTGGCCTTACATGTCTGGCTTCTTTATATTTTTGAGATTTATCCATGCTGTAGCATATTCATTCTCTTTTGTTGCTAAAATAGTATATATTTTTTTACCGTATAGCTGTATCCTATTTGTTTACAGTTGATGAGCACTTGTGTCATTTCCACATTTTGGCTATTAATAATACTGCTATGAATGTTCTCATGCAAGTCTTTGTATAGATGGGCATTTATTTTTAAAGCACTTTTCTAAGAAAGGAAATAATTTATACTTTGGAAATTTCATATCAAGAATTAATTGTATACAGTTAGTTGGTCTGGATAATTGAAATCTTCTCACTCTATTCTTTAACTTATAAACAGAGTCCCTGCTCCACAACTCTCCCTAAACTAACTTCTTGCAGAGTTCAATTTTAATGGTACAACTGGCTTGGTTGTCTTACTAGATTCTAAGTTTCTAATCAGTTGGCCCCACAATTCTTCTTTTCCTAAATCCCCAAGGCTAGTGCTTTTTGACTGTTTCCTGCACCTAGATGCAGAATGTTTAAAACTGAGCCCATCATGTTCCTCCCTGAACCTATTCCTAATCCATTATTTCTAATCTCACCATTGAGCCACCCTTTCTAACCACTTCCTCCAGCCAAAAACCTGGAAGCCACCCCAAATTCTTCTATATCCAGTTGGTCACAAGGCTCACCCATATTTGATTATGTCATCTCTTATTCAATAGCATTTAAGGACTTATTTGAAATAAAGTTAAATTCTTTATCTTATCCTAGGAAAACTCGGTGATCTGCTTCTCATTTCCCTCTCTCCAGCTTCATCTTTCAACACTTCACCTGGCCCTCCCTCCTACTGCCCCTTGCCCCACATCCCACGCTCCAGCAGCTAAAGCTTTTTCATTTGATCAGTATTTATTGAGACCTGTGATGTGCCAGGCATCATACCAAGCCCTGGACTTACAGGAGCACGTGCTTCCTAGCTCCATAGAACATACTCTTTAGTGGGGAAGACAAAGCAGTTATTTTAATAAAGGTGAGATGTATTCTGTTGGGGGAAATGGTATGGGTTGTCACAGAAACTTGCAGCACAAGGAGTGAAACTCCTCTGGGGAAAGGGAAGCTGAGGCTTGGAGGATGGGTGGGATCCCGTCAGGTGAAAGGGAGGCAAGAAGAGCTCTCTGTCCTCCTGGGTTTCTGGTAATATCACCTACAATGCTTTTTTCCCCAAGGCTATCTACAAAATGGTAGGCACTGTGATCATGATGAAAATGAATGAGGATGGCCTGACGCCTGAGCAGCGAGTAGACAAGATTTTCAGCAAGATGGATAAGAACAAAGATGACCAGATTACACTGGATGAATTCAAAGAAGCTGCAAAGAGCGACCCTTCCATTGTATTACTTCTGCAGTGCGACATCCAGAAATGAGCTGATGTCAATGCTATGGACTGCACAAAAGTCTCAATGTTCCATTCAGTCTGCAGCTATTCACACACACACACACACACACACACACACACACACACACACACACAAATATTGCTTGGACTACCTATAAATGGACTTGCTTCTTGTGTTTGAAACACTCGTGTGCATGAGAATGTCATTTGCTAATGAATTTTAAAAGCATATATAAAACAAAACAAACAACCTGCCACAATGTGATATGTGTAATATCATTTCATAAAAATCCCTCTTCCTCCAAAGCCTGGGCAGAAATGTGCTGCAAAGAGTTATATGACTTCTTGTTCATGTTTTGCTAATGCTCGTATCTCCTTGATTACATAATGTTAGTAGCACTGAGACCCCCATGGTAATGTAACTTAATTATAAGCTATGTCACTACCCTCCTGTAAAATACTATTGGACAGACACAGAGGGACCCTTGGCTCCTGTGTCTGGTCCACACACCACAGAAGCTTGTATTATCAGTGAATATAAATGTACTACATTTGCATGCCTTTTGGGTTTGCCTTAATTCTTACCTCATTTGCATCCTATCGATCTGGAAAGAGCTGTTTTGGATGAATGCAGTATAAAATGTAAAAACCCTGCTAAATGACTTATTGATTAAGTATATCTATCTATATATACATATACACAAAGATATTATTTATCGAAAGTAAAAAAGATGGAAGTGTATTGGTTTCTGTTTGAATTTTCAAAGGCTTCCAATGTGGTGGCAATAAATGTCCCAAATAAATTTATAACAATTGATTTTCCCCCTAATTCTTATTTTATAATTTTAAAATTGCAGCAGTTGCTAGCAACAACTTACTAAATCTACTCTTAAATATACAACTTTGGAATTTGAAGAATTAATGACAACAAAAGGGAAAAAAGCAACTTTCCAACTTTTCATCCAGGCTCCCAAAAGAGGGACAACGAACATGGCATGTGAAAAGTAAAACAGATTTGTTCATTCCGAAAAAAAAATGTTCATTCTATGACAATAAATTTTATCTCAGTGTGACTTTGGTGCTAACAACGTATGTTCAGTGCAACTACGTGGAGCTGTGCACACACAGCAGGTAGGCTGCAGGTGTCCCCCAACATAAGTCAGTAGGAAAGAAGACATCTGTCTTCCCAAATCTAAAGTAGGCAAAAAATAACAGAAGTAGCTATTTTTAATAACAGAACAGAACTCTGACTCTTTTGATCTTGAAGGAGGCAGAAGAGATTCCATCAAAACCTCTAAAAGCAGGTTTGCATTTTCAGAACATGCCCCCCTAGAGAGTTGAGTTTTTTACACAGCACTACCCGGTAGTACTTTCTCTGATGATGGGAAGGTCTACATCTGCACAGCACGCTAGCTATAACTGCACATATGGCTACTGAGCACTTCAAGTATGGCTAGCGTGACTAAGGAACTGAATTTTATACTGTAATTAAGTGTAATTTGCCACATATAGCTAGTGGCTTTAGTAACAGACAGTTTAGTGCTATATTATTTATTCAAGTACTTTTTATCAAATTCGTTTTTTACCGAATTCGTTTTTTACCATTCTTTATTTGTCTTAGGATCATTACATAACACTAAACTAGGGTCTAATGATTCTATTCATTCATTTAACAAGAAATGGTGACCTCATTACAAACACTTAGGACACCAGTGGTCCTGAAACACTGATAGAACCAAAATTCTGCCCTGACAAGATAGTCCTACAAGTGAATAGAATGTCCTAATACCCTTCACCCTTGTGCATGTTGAGCCCAAACTGTAGGCAGGGAGAGATCAGGGAGGCTCAGTACATCTCAAGACTCCTTCCTCACTAAGTGAGGACGGGTAGGTGAGGAGATGTGGACTGCTTCAGAATGGCACCCGGTTAAACCAGGCCCTGAGTAATTCATTCATAACAATTCTTCACTGGTCACCTACTGTGCACCTAACATCATTCTTGTGTGGAGAGGGATACACACTAAATACACACACAGACAAATGGCGAATTATAATACCTATGAAGAAGAGCAGGGCAGGATAACAGGGAGGAGAGGGATGGGATACTTTGGTGGCCCTTCCCTATAGGCTGGTGAGGTGACATCTGAAGAAAGAACTTCGTGAAACGAAGTGAACTGTATCTGGGGCGCTTATGGAAAACAAACCCTCTAGCAGACTCACTGGTTGTTTTTATAAATAAAATGTAGAAGCTGGGCCAGCAAGCAAGCATCTTGTTATTTGCCTAAGTCCCTGCTGTTGTAAGAGTGTGGACTGGTGCAGTGATCCTGGAGAGATGGCCAGCAGCGGGTAGCTAGAAGTATACTATTCCCTCTGTCCCAGCATTCCCACTCCAGGTGTATTATCCCAAGAAACTCCCACTGAGGGCTATAAGAGGACATATCCAAGGATGGTTGCGAGGTGGGTATCGGAGGCAATCTAGCGGTTTGTTGCTAGAGAAACAGGTAAGGAAAATACGGTGGATACACCCTATGGCATACTACACAGCAGCTGGAAACAACAGACTGATGGACACAGGGACAGGGACATTTAAAAAATGCTGAATGGGGGGAAAAAGAGCAAAATATATTTCCCAGTGTTATAATCATACATAAATGAAAAGATGCATTCTCACAAAAGAACTCTAAGGTCACATAAAATAAAAGGAAATACCATATTATAATGGTTTCTATAGGATTGGGTGGTGATGGGAGTGGGTTCAGTTATTACTGCTCCATAACAACCTACCCCCAAACCTAGTGGCTTAAAATGAAAACAATCATTTTATTATTCTTCCTGGCTTCTGTGGGCCAGAAAATTGAAAAGGAAGGGCTCAAATGGATGATTCTGCCTCATGGTCTCTCATGCAGTTGCAGTCAGGTGGCAGCTGGAGCTGAAATGGGCCTGGAGCAGCTGGGGGCTGATTGGGGATTTCTGCGCTTGCAGTCTCAGGAGGAGTCATACTACTTACAAAGGGACTCTGGTCTCCAGCACAAGTATTCATGCAAAGTCGGAAGTTTCATCACCTTTTCTGACCTAGCCTCTGAAGTCACGAAGTATCACTTCCACAGTATTCTACTGGTAACAAGAAAGCCGCTAGCCCATCCACATTCAAGAAGGGAATCAGACTCCATCTCTTGATGGGGTGAGGCAAGGTTCTAGACGAATTATGTGGCATAAAAGATACTGTTGCCATCATCTTTGGAAAACAATCTGCTACAGTCTACCTTGTGGCCACAGTTCACATCCTTTCCCATGCAAGATTGTTCATCCCCTCCCAAGAAACCACAAAAGTCTCATACCATTACGACTTCAGGGTCAGGCTTGAGGCCCAAGATCTCATCATATAAAGCTCCTCAGATGTGGTTCTTCAATTATAGCACACTGAGTCACATTCTTCATGATCCAAAGGCTTGTGAAAGAGAGAGAGAATTATCTCCTCTCTTCCCTTCCACATGCAATATGCAATGGTGGTACAGGCTTAGAATAACCGCAATAGACACACTATCCAAAAACGGGGAAAGGGAAAGCACATGGCAATCTCTGGTCTATGGCAGTTCTGAAATTCCAGCCAGGTACACCCTGTAAGGTCCTTGACTAGGGTTTGGTCCTACTCTCTGGGGTTTTTTCTCCATGATTCTTCGCTCTGCTTTCTGTGTTTGTTTCTACCCTCTGGGCCATCCTTTCTTTTTCATTAAAAAAAAAAAAAATTGTGTTTACAGCTGAGTAGTTTTCTCAGTCTACTGCCTGCCTATACAATTCCAGGAGTAGAAAGACTCTTCATTTTGCACTGTCTCTTTGTCTTTCGGTCTAAGCTGACATTCTTTTAAAAACCTTATGGGTTTCTCAAGTGTCAGTTTATGAAATCCACTCCATTAGCAGAGGCTCATTGTGAGAACACCCCTAATAATCAGAGAAGCCCTACTGTTTAATGGAGGGAACCTGAAAGGCACATCTTTAGAAGGCAGACTGCTGCCTGTCTGAAAAGGTCTAAAAATACTGCCTTACATCTTTCTGAGGTCCTCACAGAGGATCTTACAGTCCCATCCTGGATTGGACTTTTGCACTGAAGCCATTTTGTATTTGAAAATCAGTTTTCCCCTTGAAGAGAGTCTGGGAATGAGAAATAGTCTCACCTCCTTTATATGCAATTGCTTTTCTTCATTCATCTCTCTTCTCACATTGTGTCACAGGCAGCAAAGAGCAGCCAAGGGGTCCTTTTCATACTGTGTCTAGACATCTGCTTGGCTAGATCACCTTACTTATTGGGTACATCTCCTATTTTCCATGTTACCATGGCATCAGTATTGCCAAACACCTTTTCTCCCACTCTCAATTCCTTCAGCTCTCCCCAAAAATATCCTTGAGACTTCAGGCCTCTGCTAACAGCTTCTGCAAGGCCCTTTAGATTCATGCACAGTCTCGAGGCCCTTCCACCGAGTGCCACATAGCTTATTTTTATTTTGGTACTTATACTTCCAGATACCAGTTACTATCACTGTATAACAAATCACTACAAAGTTTAGTGACCTAAAATGATGACTGAATTATCTCTGAGTTTTTGTGGGCCATGAATTCTCAAATGATTCACTTGGGCAGCCTGGCTTGGGACCTCTCAGGTAGTTATAGGGAGATGGTGAAACAGAGGGTCTGGAGCAACCGAGGGCTGGCAGGGCATCTCTCGCTGTCCATGCAGCCTCAGGCTTTCTTCAAATGGGCTAGTTTAGGCTTTCTCATTGTGGCCGCCTCAGGGAAGTCGGACTGCCTCCACGCCAGCACAGGGCTCCAGCATGGGTATTCCACAGCTCAAGGCGGGACTTTCATTCCTTTTCATTGCCTTTCTGGCCCAGCCTTGGGAATTACAAAGTATCATTTTCACTGCATTCTGTTGGTTATAAGAGAGTTACAAATCTAACCAGATTAAGAAGAGAATTAGACTCTGTAAGGCAAGGTTCTGGGAGAACATGGGCGGGATTTATCCTTGTGGCCATCTTTGGAAAATACAACCTGTTACAGTGGATAAAGAATGAAGATAAAAGGAAATAAGTGATTGCTGCATGCCCCAGTGCTGAAGGTAGCCATTAGCTGATGTGCACATTTAACTAAACCCTCTGCGACTGAGTTCCATTTAAACACACATTGTATCTCAGCAACCTGAATCCTCGCTGACCTTGATATCCTAACCAGCTACTGCGGTTCCTTCAGAAAGGACTAACTGCGGGCTTCCTTTAATCAACTGGGCCTGGGTTCTACTGGTTCTAGCTTACACTCAACTGCCATTTTAATTACCATGTTAATTAGCTGTTTAAGCCCTGCTGCTGTTCTGAAGGGAAAAGGCTCCCAGGTGTCTTTTTTATTTTTTTCACAGAGTCTTGCTCTGTCACCCAGGCTGGAGTGCAGTGGCACAATCTCAGCTCGCTGCAACCTCCACCTCCTGGTTCAAGAGATTCTCCCACCTCAACCTCCCGAGTAGCTGGGATTACAGGCATATGCCACCACGCCTGGCTAATTTTTGTATTTTTAGTAGAAACAGGGTTTCACATGTTGGCCAGGCTGGTCTCAAACTCCTGACCTCAGGTGATCTGCCCACCTCAGCCTCCGAAAGTGCTGGGATTACAGGCGTGAGCCACCATGCCTGGCCAACCCCCCAAGTGTCTGATTTTCTATACTTTGTCTAGCCTCAACTCTTTCTGCATTTAGAAGTCCTAAGTTTCCATATTTCCTCTCATTCTGTAAATAACTCTTAACTATTTTAAAAGGGAAATCATACTGCTTTAAGGCCTCATTTTTCCTGTAATTCATTCATTCAGGGTTACAGTCTCTGGATGAATATAAACTAGTTTCTTAGAGTCCAGATGCTTATTTCTTC